>NC_000017.11:25736046-25919935 GCF_000001405.40 Homo sapiens
AGCAGTCTCAGAATCTTCTTTGTGATGTTTGCATTCAAATCCCAGAGTTGAACTTTCCTTTCAAAGTTCACGTTTGAAACACTCTTTTTGCAGGATCTACAAGTGGATATTTGACCACTCTGTGTCCTTCGTTCGAAACGGGTATATCTTCACATGACATCTAGACAGAAGCTTTCTCAGAAAATTCTTTGGCATGATTGAGTTGAACTCACAGAGCTGAACATTCCTTGCGATGTAGCAGTTTAGAAACACACTTTCTGCAGAAGCTGCAAGTGCATATTTGGACCTCTCTGAGGAATTCGTTGGAAACGGGATAATTTCAGCTGACTAAACAGAAGCATTCTCAGAACCTTCTTCGTGATGTCTGCATTCAACTCACAGTGTGGAACCTTTCTTTGATAGTTCAGGTTTGAAACACTCTTTTTGTAGAAACTGCAAGGGGATAATTGCACTTCTTTGAGGCCTACCGTAGTAAAGGAAATAACTTCCTATAGAAAGAAGACAGAAGCATTCTCAGAACCCTCTTCGTGACGTTTGCATTCAACTCACAGTGCTGAACCTTTCTTTGATAGTTCAGCTTTGAAACACTCTTCTTGTAGAAACTGCAAGTGGATATTTGGTCCTCTCTGAGGATTTCGTTGGAAACGGGATAAACCGCACAGAACTAAACAGAAGCATTCTCAGAACCTTCTTCGTGATGTTTGCATTCAACTCACAGTGTTGAACCTTTCTTTGATAGTTCAGGTTTGAAACGGTCTTTCTGTAGAAACTGCAAGTAGATATTTGGACCTCTGCTGAGGATTTCGTTGGAAACGGGATAAACCGCACAGAACTAAAACAGAAGCATTCACAGAAAACTCTTGGTGACGACTGAGTTTAACTCACAGAGCTGATAATTCCTTTGGATGGAGCAGTTTCAAAACACACTATTTGTAGAATGTGCAAGTGGATATGTGGGCCTCTCTGAGGATTTCGTTGGAAACGGGATAAACCGCACAGAACTAAAACAGAAGCATTCTCAGAAACTACTTTGTGATGATTGCATTCAAGTCACAGAGTTGAACATTCCCTTTGACAGAGCAGTTTGGAAACTCTCTTTGTGTAGAATCTGCAAGTGGAGATATGGACCGCTTTGAGGACTATGGTAGTAAAGGAAATAGCTTCATATAAAAGCTAGACAGTAGCATTCTCAGAAACTTCTTTGTGATGCTTGCATTCAACTCACAGAGTTGAACTTTCCTTTCGAGAGAGAAGCTTTGAAACACTCTTTTTCCAGAATCTGCAAGTGGACATTTGGAGGGCTTTGAGGCCTGTGGTGGAAAAGGAATTAACTTCCCGTAAAAGCTAGATAGAAGCATTGTCAGAAACTTCTTTGTGATGATTGCATTCAACTCACAGAGTTGAAGGTTCCTTTTCAAACAGCAGTTTCCAATCACTCTTTCTGTGGAATCTGCAAGTGGATATTTGGGCCTCTCTGAGGATTTCGTTGGAAACGGGATAAAACGCACAGAACTAAAACAGAAGCATTCTCAGAAACTTCTCTGTGATGTTTGTGTTCAACTCCCAGAGTTTCACGTTGCTTTTCATAGAGTAGTTCTGAAACATGCTTTTCGTAGTGTCTGCAAGTGGACATTTGGAGCGCTTTCAGGCCTGTGGTGGAAAACGAATTATGGTCACATAAAAACTGGAGAGAAGCCTTCTCAGAAACTTCTCTGTGATGATTGCATTCAACTCACAGAGTTGAACCCTCCTATGGATAGAGCAGTGTTGAAACTCTCTTTTTGTGGAATCTGCAAGTGGATATGTGGACCTCTCCGAAGATGTCTTTGGAAACGGGAATATCTTCACATAAAAACTAAACAGAAGCATTCTCAGAAACTTCTTGGTGATGTTTGCATTCAAATCCCAGAGTTGAACATTCCTTTGACAGTTCAGGTTTGAAACACTCTTTTTGTAGGATCTGCAAGTGGATATTTGGACCACTCTGTGGCCTTCGTTCGAAACGGGTACATCTTCGCATAAAATCTAGACAGAAGCATTCTCAGAAAATACTTTGTGATGATTGAGTTGAACTCACAGAGCTGAACATTCCTTTGGATGGAGCAGGTTTGAGACACACTTTTTGTAGAATCTACAAGTGGATATTTGGACCTCTCTGAGGATTTCGTTGGAAACGGGATAACTGCACCTAACTAAACGGAAGCATTCTCAGAAACTGCTTTGTGATGATTGCATTCACCTCACAGAGTTGAACATTCCTATTGATAGAGCAGTTTGGAAACACTCTTGTTGTGGAATGTGCAAGTGGAGATTTGGAGCGCTTTGAGGTCTATGGTAGTAAAGGGAATAGCTTCATAGAAAAACTAGACAGATGCATTCTCAGGAACTTTTTGGTGATGTTTGTATTCAACTCCCAGAGTTGAACTTTCCTTTGGAAAGAGCAGCTATGAAACACTCTTTTTCTAGAATCTGCAAGTGGACGTTTGGAGGGCTTTGTGGTTTGTGGTGGAAAAGGAAATATCTTCACCTAAATACTAGATAGAAGCATTCTCAGAAGCTTCTCTGTGATGACTGCATTCAACTCACGGAGTTGAACACTCCTTTTGAGAGCGCAGTTTTGAAACTCTCTTTCTGTGGCATCTGCAAGGGGACATGTAGACCTCTTTGAAGATTTCGTTGGAAACGGAATCATCTTCACATAAAAACTATACAGAAGCAGTCTCAGAATCTTCTTTGTGATGTTTGCATTCAAATCCCAGAGTTGAACTTTCCTTTCAAAGTTCACGTTTGAAACACTCTTTTTGCAGGATCTACAAGTGGATATTTGGACCACTCTGTGTCCTTCGTTCGAAACGGGTATATCTTCACACGACATCTAGACAGAAGCTTTCTCAGAAAATTCTTTGGGATGATTGAGTGGAACTCACAGAGCTGAACATTCCTTGCGATGTAGCAGTTTAGAAACACACTTTCTGCAGAATCTGCAAGTGCATATTTGGACCTCTCTGAGGAATTCGTTGGAAACGGGATAATTTCAGCTGACTAAACAAGAAGCATTCTCAGAACCTTCTTCGTGATGTCTGCATTCAACTCACAGTGTGGAACCTTTCTTTGATAGTTCAGGTTTGAAACACTCTTTTTGTAGAAACTGCAAGGGGATAATTGCACTTCTTTGAGGCCTACCGTAGTAAAGGAAATAACTTCCTATAGAAAGAAGACAGAAGCATTCTCAGAACCCTCTTCGTGATGTTTGCATTCAACTCACAGTGCTGAACCTTTCTTTGATAGTGCAGCTTTGAAACACTCTTCTTGTAGAAACTGCAAGTGGATATTTGGTCCTCTCTGAGGATTTCGTTGGAAACGGGATAAACCGCACAGAACTAAACAGAAGCATTCTCAGAACCTTCTTCGTGATGTTTGCATTCAACTCACAGTGTTGAACCTTTCTTTGATAGTTCAGGTTTGAAACGGTCTTTCTGTAGAAACTGCAAGTAGATATTTGGACCTCTCTGAGGATTTCGTTGGAAACGGGATAACCCGCACAGAACTAAAACAGAAGCATTCACAGAAAACTCTTGGTGACGACTGAGTTTAACTCACAGAGCTGAACATTCCTTTGGATGGAGCAGTTTCAAAACACACTATTTGTAGAATCTGCAAGTGGATATGTGGGCCTCTCTGAGGATTTCGTTGGAAACGGGATAAACCGCACAGAACTAAAACAGAAGCATTCTCAGAAACTACTTTGTGATGATTGCATTCAAGTCACAGAGTTGAACATTCCCTTTGACAGAGCAGTTTGGAAACTCTCTTTGTGTAGAATCTGCAAGTGGAGATATGGACCGCTTTGAGGCCTATGGTAGTAAAGGAAATAGCTTCATATAAAAGCTAGACAGTAGCATTCTCAGAAACTTCTTTGTGATGCTTGCATTCAACTCACAGAGTTGAACTTTCCTTTCGAGAGAGAAGCTTTGAAACACTCTTTTTCCAGAATCTGCAAGTGGACATTTGGAGGGCTTTGAGGCCTGTGGTGGAAAAGGAATTAACTTCCCGTAAAAGCTAGATAGAAGCATTGTCAGAAACTTCTTTGTGATGATTGCATTCAACTCACAGAGATGAAGGTTCCTTTACAAACAGCAGTTTCCAAACACTCTTTCTGTGGAATCTGCAAGTGGATATTTGGACCTCTTTGAAGATTTCGTTGGAAACGGGAGAATCTTCACAGAAAAGCTAAACAGAAGCATTCTCAGAAACTTCTCTGTGATGTTTGTGTTCAACTCCCAGAGTTTCACGTTGCTTTTCATAGAGTAGTTCTGAAACATGCTTTTCGTAGTGTCTGCAAGTGGACATTTGGAGCGCTTTCAGGCCTGTGGTGGAAAACGAATTATGGTCACATAAAAACTGGAGAGAAGCCTTCTCAGAAACTTCTCTGTGATGATTGCATTCAACTCACAGAGTTGAACCCTCCTATGGATAGAGCAGTGTTGAAACTCTCTTTTTGTGGAATCTGCAAGTGGATATGTGGACCTCTCCGAAGATGTCTTTGGAAACGGGAATATCTTCACATAAAAACTAAACAGAAGCATTCTCAGAAACTTCTTGGTGATGTTTGCATTCAAATCCCAGAGTTGAACCTTCCTTTGATAGTTCAGGTTTGAAACACTCTTTTTGTAGGATCTGCAAGTGGCTATTTGGACCACTCTGTGGCCTTCGTTTGAAACGGGTATATCTTCGCATAAAATCTAGACAGAAGCATTCTCAGAAAATACTTTGTGATGATTGAGTTTAAATCACAGAGCTGACCATTCCTTTGGATGGAGCAGGTTTGAGACACACTTTTTGTAGAATCTACAAGTGGATATTTGGACCTCTCTGAGGATTTCGTTGGAAACGGGATAACTGCACCTAACTAAACGGAAGCATTCTCAGAAACTGCTTTGTGATGATTGCATTCACCTCACAGAGTTGAACATTCGTATTGATAGAGCAGTTTGGAAACACTCTTCTTGTGGAATGTGCAAGTGGAGATTTGGAGCGCTTTGGGGCCTATGGTAGTAAAGGGAATAGCTTCATAGAAAAACTAGACAGATGCATTCTCAGGAACTTTTTGGTGATGTTTGTATTCAACTCCCAGAGTTGAACTTTCCTTTGGAAAGAGCAGCTATGAAACACTCTTTTTCTAGAATCTGCAAGTGGACGTTTGGAGGGCTTTGTGGTTTGTGGTGGAAAAGGAAATATCTTCACCTAAATACTAGACAGAAGCATTCTCAGAAGCTTCTCTGTGATGACTGCATTCAACTCACGGAGTTGAACACTCCTTTTGAGAGCGCAGTTTTGAAACTCTCTTTCTGTGGCATCTGCAAGGGGACATGCAGACCTCTTTGAAGATTTCGTTGGAAACGGAATCATCTTCACATAAAAACTATACAGAAGCAGTCTCAGAATCTTCTTTGTGATGTTTGCATTCAAATCCCAGAGTTGAACTTTCCTTTCAAAGTTCACGTTTGAAACACTCTTTTTGCAGGATCTACAAGTGGATATTTGGACCACTCTGTGTCCTTCGTTCGAAACGGGTATATCTTCACACGACATCTAGACAGAAGCTTTCTCAGAAAATTCTTTGGGATGATTGAGTGGAACTCACAGAGCTGAACATTCCTTGCGATGTAGCAGTTTAGAAACACACTTTCTGCAGAATCTGCAAGTGCATATGTGGACCTCTCTGAGGAATTCGTTGGAAACGGGATAATTTCAGCTGACTAAACAGAAGCATTCTCAGAACCTTCTTCGTGATGTCTGCATTCAACTCACAGTGTGGAACCTTTCTTTGATAGTTCAGGTTTGAAACACTCTTTTTGTAGAAACTGCAAGGGGATAATTGCACTTCTTTGAGGCCTACCGTAGTAAAGGAAATAACTTCCTATAGAAAGAAGACAGAAGCATTCTCAGAACCCTCTTCGTGATGTTTGCATTCAACTCACAGTGCTGAACCTTTCTTTGATAGTTCAGCTTTGAAACACTCTTCTTGTTGAAACTGCAAGTGGATATTTGGTCCTCTCTGAGGATTTCGTTGGAAACGGGATAAACCGCACAGAACTAAACAGAAGCATTCTCAGAACCCTCTTCGTGATGTTTGCATTCAACTCACAGTGTTGAACCTTTCTTTGATAGTTCAGCTTTGAAACGGTCTTTCTGTAGAAACTGCAAGTAGATATTTGGACCTCTCTGAGGATTTCGTTGGAAACGGGATAAACCGCACAGAACTAAAACAGAAGCATTCACAGAAAACTCTTGGTGACGACTGAGTTTAACTCACAGAGCTGAACATTCCTTTGGATGGAGCAGTTTCGAAACACACTATTTGTAGAATCTGCAAGTGGATATTTGGGCCTCTCTGAGGATTTCGTTGGAAACGGGATAAAACGCACAGAACTAAAACAGAAGCATTCTCAGAAACTACTTTGTGATGATTGCATTCAAGTCACAGAGTTGAACATTCCCTTTGACAGAGCAGTTTGGAAACTCTCTTTGTGTAGAATCTGCAAGTGGAGATATGGACCGCTTTGAGGCCTATGGAAGTAAAGGAAATAGCTTCATATAAAAGCTAGACAGTAGCATTCTCAGAAACTTCTTTGTGATGCTTGCATTCAACTCACAGAGTTGAACTTTCCTTTCGAGAGAGAAGCTTTGAAACACTCTTTTTCCAGAATGTGCAAGTGGACATTTGGGGAGCTTTGAGGCCTGTGGTGGAAAAGGAATTATCTTCCCGTAAAAGCTAGATAGAAGCATTGTCAGAAACTTCTTTGTGATGATTGCATTCAACTCACAGAGTTGAAGGTTCCTTTTCAAACAGCAGTTTCCAATCACTCTTTCTGTGGAATCTGCAAGTGGATATTTGGACCTATTTTGAAGATTTCGTTGGAAACGGGAGAATCTTCACAGAAAAGCTAAACAGAAGCATTCTCAGAAACTTCTCTGTGATGTTTGTGTTCAACTCCCAGAGTTTCACATTGCTTCTCATAGAGTAGTTCTGAAACATGCTTTTCGTAGTGTCTGCAAGTGGACATTTGGAGCGCTTTCAGGCCTGTGGTGGAAAACGAATTATGGTCACATAAAAACTGGAGAGAAGCCTTCTCAGAAACTTCTCTGTGATGATTGCATTCAACTCACAGAGTTGAACCCTCCTCTGGATAGAGCAGTGTTGAAACTCTCTTTTTGTGGAATCTGCAAGCGGATATGTGGACCTCTCCGAAGATGTCTTTGGAAACGGGAATATCTTCACATAAAAACTAAACAGAAGCATTCTCAGAAACTTCTTGGTGATGTTTGCATTCAAATCCCAGAGTTGAACCTTCCTTTGAGAGTTCAGGTTTGAAACACTCTTTTTGTAGGATCTGCAAGTGGATATTTGGACCACTCTGTGGCCTTCGTTCGAAACGGGTACATCTTCGCATAAAATCTAGACAGAAGCATTCTCAGAAAATACTTTGTGATTATTGAGTTTAACTCACAGAGCTGAACATTCCTTTGGATGGAGCAGGTTTGAGACACACTTTTTGTAGAATCTACAAGTGGATATTTGGACCTCTCTGAAGATTTCGTTGGAAACGGGATA
Source organism: Homo sapiens (assembly GCF_000001405.40). NCBI lineage: Eukaryota > Metazoa > Chordata > Mammalia > Primates > Hominidae > Homo > Homo sapiens. The sequence goes on from NC_000017.11 coordinate 25,743,662, forward strand.
ACTGCACCTAACTAAACGGAAGCATTCTCAGAAACTGCTTTGTGATGATTGCATTCACCTCACAGAGTTGAACATTCCTATTGATAGAGCAGTTTGGAAACACTCTTGTTGTGGAATGTGCAAGTGGAGATTTGGAGCGCTTTGAGGCCTATGGTAGTAAAGGGAATAGCTTCATAGAAAAACTAGACAGATGCATTCTCAGGAACTTTTTGGTGATGTTTTTATTCAACTCCCAGAGTTGAACTTTCCTTTGCAAAGAGCAGCTATGAAACACTCTTTTTCTAGAATCTGCAAGTGGACGTTTGGAGGGCTTTGTGGTTTGTGGTGGAAAAGGAAATATCTTCACCTAAATACTAGATAGAAGCATTCTCAGAAGCTTCTCTGTGATGACTGCATTCAACTCACGGAGTTGAACACTCCTTTTGAGAGCGCAGTTTTGAAACTCTCTTTCTGTGGCATCTGCAAGGGGACATGTAGACCTCTTTGAAGATTTCGTTGGAAACGGAATCATCTTCACATAAAAACTATACAGAAGCAGTCTCAGAATCTTCTTTGTGATGTTTGCATTCAAATCCCAGAGTTGAACTTTCCTTTCAAAGTTCACGTTTGAAACACTCTTTTTGCAGGATCTACAAGTGGATATTTGGACCACTCTGTGTCCTTCGTTCGAAACGGGTATAACTTCACACGACATCTAGACAGAAGCTTTCTCAGAAAATTCTTTGGGATGATTGAGTGGAACTCACAGAGCTGAACATTCCTTGCGATGTAGCAGTTTAGAAACACACTTTCTGCAGAATCTGCAAGTGCATATTTGGACCTCTCTGAGGAATTCGTTGGAAACGGGATAATTTCAGCTGACTAAACAGAAGCATTCTCAGAACCTTCTTCGTGATGTCTGCATTCAACTCACAGTGTGGAACCTTTCTTTGATAGTTCAGGTTTGAAACACTCTTTTTGTAGAAACTGCAAGGGGATAATTGCACTTCTTTGAGGCCTACCGTAGTAAAGGAAATAACTTCCTATAGAAAGAAGACAGAAGCATTCTCAGAACCCTCTTCGTGATGTTCGCATTCAACTCACAGTGCTGAACCTTTCTTTGATAGTTCAGCTTTGAAACACTCTTCTTGTAGAAACTGCAAGTGGATATTTGGTCCTCTCTGAGGATTTCGTTGGAAACGGGATAAACCGCACAGAACTAAACAGAAGCATTCTCAGAGCCCTCTTCGTGATGTTTGCATTCAACTCACAGTGCTGAACCTTTCTTTGATAGTGCAGCTTTGAAACACTCTTTTTGTAGAAACTGCAAGTGGATGTTTGGTCCTCTCTGAGGATTTCGTTGGAAACGGGATAAACCGCACAGAACTAAAACAGAAGCATTGTCAGAAACTTCTTTGTGATGATTGCATTCAACTCACAGAGTTGAAGGTTCCTTTTCAAACAGCAGTTTCCAATCACTCTTTCTGTGGAATCTGCAAGTGGATATTTGGGCCTCTCTGAGGATTTCGTTGGAAACGGGATAAAACGCACAGAACTAAAACAGAAGCATTCTCAGAAACTTCTCTGTGATGTTTGTGTTCAACTCCCAGAGTTTCACGTTGCTTTTCATAGAGTAGTTCTGAAACATGCTTTTCGTAGTGTCTGCAAGTGGACATTTGGAGCGCTTTCAGGCCTGTGGTGGAAAACGAATTATGGTCACATAAAAACTGGAGAGAAGCCTTCTCAGAAACTTCTCTGTGATGATTGCATTCAACTCACAGAGTTGAACCCTCCTATGGATAGAGCAGTGTTGAAACTCTCTTTTTGTGGAATCTGCAAGTGGATATGTGGACCTCTCCGAAGATGTCTTTGGAAACGGGAATATCTTCACATAAAAACTAAACAGAAGCATTCTCAGAAACTTCTTGGTGATGTTTGCATTCAAATCCCAGAGTTGAACCTTCCTTTGATAGTTCAGGTTTGAAACACTCTTTTTGTAGGATCTGCAAGTGGATATTTGGACCACTCTGTGGCCTTCGTTCGAAACGGGTATATCTTCGCATAAAATCTAGACAGAAGCATTCTCAGAAAATACTTTGTGAAGATTGAGTTTAACTCACAGAGCTGAACATTCCTTTGGATGGTGCAGGTTTGAGACACACTTTTTGTAGAATCTACAAGTGGATATTTGGACCTCTCTGAGGATTTCGTTGGAAACGGGATAACTGCACCTAACTAAACGGAAGCATTCTCAGAAACTGCTTTGTGATGATTGCATTCACCTCACAGAGTTGAACATTCCTATTGATAGAGCAGTTTGGAAACACTCTTGTTGTGGAATGTGCAAGTGGAGATTTGGAGCGCTTTGAGGCCTATGGTAGTAAAGGGAATAGCTTCATAGAAAAACTAGACAGATGCATTCTCAGGAACTTTTTGGTGATGTTTGTATTCAACTCCCAGAGTTGAACTTTCCTTTGGAAAGAGCAGCTATGAAACACTCTTTTTCTAGAATCTGCAAGTGGACGTTTGGAGGGCTTTGTGGTTTGTGGTGGAAAAGGAAATATCTTCACCTAAATACTAGATAGAAGCATTCTCAGAAGCTTCTCTGTGATGACTGCATTCAACTCACGGAGTTGAACACTCCTTTTGAGAGCGCAGTTTTGAAACTCTCTTTCTGTGGCATCTGCAAGGGGACATGTAGACCTCTTGGAAGATTTCGTTGGAAACGGAATCATCTTCACATAAAAACTATACAGAAGCAGTCTCAGAATCTTCTTTGTGATGTTTGCATTCAAATCCCCGAGTTGAACTTTCCTTTCAAAGTTCACGTTTGAAACACTCTTTTTGCAGGATCTACAAGTGGATATTTGGACCACTCTGTGTCCTTCGTTCGAAACGGGTATATCTTCACATGACATCTAGACAGAAGCTTTCTCAGAAAATTCTTTGGGATGATTGAGTGGAACTCACAGAGCTGAACATTCCTTGCGATGTAGCAGTTTAGAAACACACTTTCTGCAGAATCTGCAAGTGCATATTTGGACCTCTCTGAGGAATTCGTTGGAAACGGGATAATTTCAGCTGACTAAACAGAAGCATTCACAGAACCTTCTTCGTGATGTCTGCATTCAACTCACAGTGTGGAACCTTTCTTTGATAGTTCAGCTTTGAAACACTCTTTTTGTAGAAACTGCAAGGGGATAATTGCACTTCTTTGAGGCCTACCGTAGTAAAGGAAATAACTTCCTATAGAAAGAAGACAGAAGCATTCTCAGAACCCTCTTCGTGATGTTTGCATTCAACTCACAGTGCTGAACCTTTCTTTGATAGTTCAGCTTTGAAACACTCTTCTTGTAGAAACTGCAAGTGGATATTTGGTCCTCTCTGAGGATTTCGTTGGAAACGGGATAAACCGCACAGAACTAAACAGAAGCATTCTCAGAACCTTCTTCGTGATGTTTGCATTCAACTCACAGTGTTGAACCTTTCTTTGATAGTTCAGGTTTGAAACGGTCTTTCTGTAGAAACTGCAAGTAGATATTTGGACCTCTCTGAGGATTTCGTTGGAAACGGGATAAACCGCACAGAACTAAAACAGAAGCATTCACAGAAAACTCTTGGTGACGACTGAGTTTAACTCACAGAGCTGAACATTCCTTTGGATGGAGCAGTTTCGAAACACACTATTTGTAGAATGTGCAAGTGGATATTTGGGCCTCTCTGAGGATTTCGTTGGAAACGGGATAAACCGCACAGAACTAAACAGAAGCATTCTCAGAAACTACTTTGTGATGATTGCATTCAAGTCACAGAGTTGAACATTCCCTTTGACAGAGCAGTTTGGAAACTCTCTTTGTGTAGAATCTGCAAGTGGAGATATGGACCGCTTTGAGGCCTATGGTAGTAAAGGAAATAGCTTCATATAAAAGCTAGACAGTAGCATTCTCAGAAACTTCTTTGTGATGCTTGCATTCAACTCACAGAGTTGAACTTTCCTTTCGAGAGAGAAGCTTTGAAACACTCTTTTTCCAGAATGTGCAAGTGGACATTTGGGGAGCTTTGAGGCCTGTGGTGGAAAAGGAATTATACTTCCCGTAAAAGCTAGATAGAAGCATTGTCAGAAACTTCTTTGTGATGATTGCATTCAACTCACAGAGTTGAAGGTTCCTTTTCAAACAGCAGTTTCCAATCACTCTTTCTGTGGAATCTGCAAGTGGATATTTCGACCTCTTTGAAGATTTCGTTGGAAACGGGAGAATCTTCACAGAAAAGCTAAACAGAAGCATTCTCAGAAACTTCTCTGTGATGTTTGTGTTCAACTCCCAGAATTTCACATTGCTTTTCATAGAGTAGTTCTGAAACATGCTTTTCGTAGTGTCTGCAAGTGGACATTTGGAGTGCTTTCAGGCCTGTGGTGGAAAACGATTTATGGTCACATAAAAACTGGAGAGAAGCCTTCTCAGAAACTTCTCTGTGATGATTGCATTCAACTCACAGAGTTGAACCCTCCTATGGATAGAGCAGTGTTGAAACTCTCTTTTTGTGGAATCTGCAAGTGTATATGTGGACCTCTCCGAAGATGTCTTTGGAAACGGGAATATCTTCACATAAAAACTAAACAGAAGCATTCTCAGAAACTTCTTGGTGATGTTTGCATTCAAATCCCAGAGTTGAACCTTCCTGTGATAGTTCAGGTTTGAAACTCTCTTTTTGTAGGATCTGCAAGTGGATATTTGGACCACTCTGTGGCCTTCGTTCGAAACGGGTACATCTTCACATAAAATCTAGACAGAAGCATTCTCAGAAAATACTTTGTGATGATTGAGTTTAACTCACAGAGCTGAACATTCCTTTGGATGGAGCAGGTTTGAGACACACTTTTTGTAGAATCTACAAGTGGATATTTGGACCTCTCTGAGGATTTCGTTGGAAACGGTATAACTGCACCTAACTAAACGGAAGCATTCTCAGAAACTGCTTTGTGATGATTGCATTCACCTCACAGAGTTGAACATTCCTATTGATAGAGCAGTTTGGAAACACTCTTGTTGTGGAATGTGCAAGTGGAGATTTGGAGCGCTTTGTGGCCTATGGTAGTAAAGGGAATAGCTTCATAGAAAAACTAGACAGATGCATTCTCAGGAACTTTTTGGTGATGTTTGTATTCAACTCCCAGAGTTGAACTTTCCTTTGGAAAGAGCAGCTATGAAACACTCTTTTTCTAGAATCTGCAAGTGGACGTTTGGAGGGCTTTGTGGTTTGTGGTGGAAAAGGAAATATCTTCACCTAAATCCTAGAGAGAAGCATTCTCAGAAGCTTCTCTGTGATGACTGCATTCAACTCACGGAGTTGAACACTCCTTTTGAGAGCGCAGTTTTGAAACTCTCTTTCTGTGGCATCTGCAAGGGGACATGTAGACCTCTTTGAAGATTTCGTTGGAAACGGAATCATCTTCACATAAAAACTATACAGAAGCAGTCTCTGAATCTTCTTTGTGATGTTTGCATTCAAATCCCAGAGTTGAACTTTCCTTTCAAAGTTCACGTTTGAAACACTCTTTTTGCAGGATCTACAAGTGGATATTTGGACCACTCTGTGTCCTTCGTTCGAAACGGGTATATCTTCACATGACATCTAGACAGAAGCTTTCTCAGAAAATTCTTTGGGATGATTGAGTGGAACTCACAGAGCTGAACATTCCTTGCGATGTAGCAGTTTAGAAACACACTTTCTGCAGAATCTGCAAGTGCATATTTGGACCTCTCTGAGGAATTCGTTGGAAACGGGATAATTTCAGCTGACTAAACAGAAGCATTCTCAGAACTTCTTCGTGATGTCTGCATTCAACTCACAGTGTGGAACCTTTCTTTGATAGTTCAGGTTTGAAACACTCTTTTTGTAGAAACTGCAAGGGGATAATTGCACTTCTTTGAGGCCTACCGTAGTAAAGGAAATAACTTCCTATAGAAAGAAGACAGAAGCATTCTCAGAGCCCTCTTCGTGATGTTTGCATTCAACTCACAGTGCTGAACCTTTCTTTGATAGTGCAGCTTTGAAACACTCTTTTTGTAGAAACTGCAAGTGGATGTTTGGTCCTCTCTGAGGATTTCGTTGGAAACGGGATAAACCGCACAGAACTAAAACAGAAGCATTCACAGAAAACTCTTGGTGACGACTGAGTTTAACTCACAGAGCTGAACATTCCTTTGGATGGAGCAGTTTCGAAACACACTATTTGTAGAATCTGCAAGTGGATATTTGGGCCTCTCTGAGGATTTCGTTGGAAACGGGATAAAACGCACAGAACTAAAACAGAAGCATTCTCAGAAACTACTTTGTGATGATTGCATTCAAGTCACAGAGTTGAACATTCCCTTTGACAGAGCAGTTTGGAAACTCTCTTTGTGTAGATTCTGCAAGTGGAGATATGGACCGCTTTGAGACCTATGGTAGTAAAGGAAATAGCTTCATATAAAAGCTAGACAGTAGCATTCTCAGAAACTTCTTTGTGATGCTTGCATTCAACTCACAGAGTTGAACTTTCCTTTCGAGAGAGAAGCTTTGAAACACTCTTTTTCCAGAATCTGCAAGTGGACATTTGGAGGGATTTGAGGCCTGTGGTGGAAAAGGAATTATCTTCCCGTAAAAGCTAGATAGAAGCATTGTCAGAAACTTCTTTGTGATGATTGCATTCAACTCACAGAGTTGAAGGTTCCTTTTCAAACAGCAGTTTCCAATCACTCTTTCTGTGGAATCTGCAAGTGGATATTTGGGCCTCTCTGAGGATTTCGTTGGAAACGGGATAAAACGCACAGAACTAAAACAGAGAGCATTCTCAGAAACTTCTCTGTGATGTTTGTGTTCAACTCCCAGAGTTTCACGTTGCTTTTCATAGAGTAGTTCTGAAACATGCTTTTCGTAGTGTCTGCAAGTGGACATTTGGAGCGCTTTCAGGCCTGTGGTGGAAAACGAATTATGGTCACATAAAAACTGGAGAGAGCCTTCTCAGAAACTTCTCTGTGATGATTGCATTCAACTCACAGAGTTGAACCCTCCTATGGATAGAGCAGTGTTGAAACTCTCTTTTTGTGGAATCTGCAAGTGGATATGTGGACCTCTCCGAAGATGTCTTTGGAAACGGGAATATCTTCACATAAAAACTAAACAGAAGCATTCTCAGAAACTTCTTGGTGATGTTTGCATTCAAATCCCAGAGTTGAACCTTCCTTTGATAGTTCAGGTTTGAAACACTCTTTTTGTAGGATCTGCAAGTGGATATTTGGACCACTCTGTGGCCTTCGTTCGAAACGGGTACATCTTCGCATAAAATCTAGACAGAAGCATTCTCAGAAAATACTTTGTGATGATTGAGTTTAACTCACAGAGCTGAACATTCCTTTGGATGGAGCAGGTTTGAGACACACCTTTTGTAGAATCTACAAGGGGATATTTGGACCTCTCCTGAGGATTTCGTTGGAAACGGGATAACTGCACCTAACTAAACGGAAGCATTCTCAGAAACTGCTTTGTGATGATTGCATTCACCTCACAGAGTTGAACATTCCTATTGATAGAGCAGTTTGGAAACACTCTTGTTGTGGAATGTGCAAGTGGAGATTTGGAGCGCTTTGAGGCCTGTGGTAGTAAAGGGAATAGCTTCATAGAAAAACTAGACAGATGCATTCTCAGGAACTTTTTGGTGATGTTTGTATTCAACTCCCAGAGTTGAACTTTCCTTTGGAAAGAGCAGCTATGAAACACTCTTTTTCTAGAATCTGCAAGTGGACGTTTGGAGGGCTTTGTGGTTTTGTGGTGGAAAAGGAAATATCTTCACCTAAATACTAGATAGAAGCATTCTCAGAAGCTTCTCTGTGATGACTGCATTCAACTCACGGAGTTGAACACTCCTTTTGAGAGCGCAGTTTTGAAACTCTCTTTCTGTGGCATCTGCAAGGGGACATGTAGACCTCTTTGAAGATTTCGTTGGAAACGGAATCATCTTCACATAAAAACTATACAGAAGCAGTCTCAGAATCTTCTTTGTGATGTTTGCATTCAAATCCCAGAGTTGAACTTTCCTTTCAAAGTTCACGTTTGAAACACTCTTTTTGCAGGATCTACAAGTGGATATTTGGACCACTCTGTGTCCTTCGTTCGAAACGGGTATATCTTCACATGACATCTAGACAGAAGCTTTCTCAGAAAATTCTTTGGGATGATTGAGTTGAACTCACAGAGCTGAACATTCCTTGTGATGGAGCAGTTTAGAAACACACTTTCTGCAGAATCTGCAAGTGCATATTTGGACCTCTCTGAGGAATTCGTTGGAAACGGGATAATTTCAGCTGACTAAACAGAAGCATTCTCAGAACCTTCTTCGTGATGTCTGCATTCAACTCACAGTGTGGAACCTTTCTTTGATAGTTCAGGTTTGAAACACTCTTTTTGTAGAGACTGCAAGGGGATAATTGCACTTCTTTGAGGCCAACCATAGTAAAGGAAATAACTTCCTATAAAAAGAAGACAGAAGCATTCTCAGAACCCTCTTCGTGATGTTTGCATTCAACTCACAGTGCTGAAACTTTCTTTGATAGTTCAGCTTTGAAACACTCTTTTTGTAGAAACTGCAAGTGGATACTTGGTCCTCTCAGAGGATTTCGTTGGAAAAGGGATAAACCGCACAGAACTAAACAGAAGCATTCACAGAAAACTCTTGGTGATGACTGAGTTTAACTTACAGAGCTGAACATTCCTTTGGAGGGAGCAGTTTCGAAACACACTATTTGTAGAATCTGCAAGTGGATATTTGGGCCTCTCTGAGGATTTCGATAGAAACGGGATAAACCGCACAGAACTAAAACAGAAGCATTCTCAGAAACTACTTTGTGATGATTGCATTCAAGTCACAGAGCTGAACATTCCCTTTGACAGAGCAGTTTGGAAACTCTCTTTGTGTAGAATCTGCAAGTGGAGGTATGGAATGCTTTGAGGACTATTGGTAGTAAAGGAAATAGCTTCATATAAAAGCTAGACAGTAGCATTCTCAGAAACTTCTTTGTGATGCTTGCATTCAACTCACAGATGTTGAACTTTCCTTTCGAGAGAGAAGCTTTGAAACACTCTTTTTCCAGAATCTGCAAGTGGACATTTGGAGGGCTTTGAGGCCTGTGGTGGAAAAGGAATTATCTTCCCGTAAAAGCTAGATAGAAGCATTGTCAGAAACTTCTTTGTGATGATTGCATTCAACTCACAGAGTTGAAGGTTCCTTTTCAAACAGCAGTTTCCAATCACTCTTTCTGTGGAATCTGCAAGTGGATATTTGGGCCTCTCTGAGGATTTCGTTGGAAACGGGATAAAACGCACAGAACTAAAACAGAAGCATTCTCAGAAACTTCTCTGTGATGTTTGTGTTCAACTCCCAGAGTTTCACCGTTGCTTTTCATAGAGTAGTTCTGAAACATGCTTTTCGTAGTGTCTGCAAGTGGACATTTGGAGCGCTTTCAGGCCTGTGGTGGAAAACGAATTATGGTCACATAAAAACTGGAGAGAAGCCTTCTCAGAAACTTCTCTGTGATGATTGCATTCAACTCACAGAGTTGAACCCTCCTATGGATAGAGCAGTGTTGAAACTCTCTTTTTGTGGAATCTGCAAGTGGATATGTGGACCTCTCCGAAGATGTCTTTGGAAACGGGAATATCTTCACATAAAAACTAAACAGAAGCATTCTCAGAATCTTCTTGGTGATGTTTGCATTCAAATCCCAGAGTTGAACCTTCCTTTGATACTTCAGGTTTGAAACACTCTTTTTGTAGGATCTGCAAGTGGATATTTGGACCACTCTGTGGCCTTCGTTCGAAACGGGTATATCTTCGCATAAAATCTAGACAGAAGCATTCTCAGAAAATACTTTGTGATGATTGAGTTGAACTCACAGAGCTGAACATTCCTTTGGATGGAGCAGGTTTGAGACACACTTTTTGCAGAATCTACAAGTGGATATTTGGACCTCTCTGAGGATTTCGTTGGAAACGGGATAACTGCACCTAACTAAACGGAAGCATTCTCAGAAACTGCTTTGTGATGATTGCATTCACCTCACAGAGTTGAACATTCCTATTGATAGAGCAGTTTGGAAACACTCTTGTTGTGGAATGTGCAAGTGGAGATTTGGAGCGCTTTGAGGCCTGTGGTAGTAAAGGGAATAGCTTCATAGAAAAACTAGACAGATGCATTCTCAGGTAACTTTTTGGTGATGTTTGTATTCAACTCCCAGAGTTGAACTTTCCTTTGGAAAGAGCAGCTATGAAACACTCTTTTTCTAGAATCTGCAAGTGGACGTTTGGAGGGCTTTGTGGTTTGTGGTGGAAAAGGAAATATCTTCACCTAAATACTAGATAGAAGCATTCTCAGAAGCTTCTCTGTGATGACTGCATTCAACTCACGGAGTTGAACACTCCTTTTGAGAGCGCAGTTTTGAAACTCTCTTTCTGTGGCATCTGCAAGGGGACATGTAGACCTCTTTGAAGATTTCGTTGGAAACGGAATCATCTTCACATAAAAACTATACAGAAGCAGTCTCAGAATCTTCTTTGTGATGTTTGCATTCAAATCCCAGAGTTGAACTTGCCTTTCAAAGTTCACGTTTGAAACACTCTTTTTGCAGGATCTACAAGTGGATATTTGGACCACTCTGTGTCCTTCGTTCGAAACGGGTATATCTTCACATGACATCTAGACAGAAGCTTTCTCAGAAAATCCTTTGGGATGATTGAGTGGAACTCACAGAGCTGAACATTCCTTGCGATGTAGCAGTTTAGAAACACACTTTCTGCAGAATCTGCAAGTGCATATGTGGACCTCTCTGAGGAATTCGTTGGAAACGGGATAATTTCAGCTGACTAAACAGAAGCATTCTCAGAACCTTCTTCGTGATGTCTGCATTCAACTCACAGTGTGGAACCTTTCTTTGATAGTTCAGGTTTGAAACACTCTTTTTGTAGAAACTGCAAGGGGATAATTGCACTTCTTTGAGGCCTACCGTAGTAAAGGAAATAACTTCCTATAGAAAGAAGACAGAAGCATTCTCAGAACCCTCTTCGTGATGTTTGCATTCAACTCACAGTGCTGAACCTTTCTTTGATAGTTCAGCTTTGAAACACTCTTCTTGTAGAAACTGCAAGTGGATATTTGGTCCTCTCTGAGGATTTCGTTGGAAACGGGATAAACCGCACAGAACTAAACAGAAGAATTCTCAGAGCCCTCTTCGTGATGTTTGCATTCAACTCACAGTGCTGAACCTTTCTTTGATAGTGCAGCTTTGAAACACTCTTTTTGTAGAAACTGCAAGTGGATATTTGGTCCTCTCTGAGGATTTCGTTGGAAACGGGATAAACCGCACAGAACTAAAACAGAAGCATTGTCAGAAACTTCTTTGTGATGATTGCATTCAACTCACAGAGTTGAAGGTTCCTTTTCAAACAGCAGTTTCCAATCACTCTTTCTGTGGAATCTGCAAGTGGATATTTGGGCCTCTCTGAGGATTTCGTTGGAAACGGGATAAAACGCACAGAACTAAAACAGAAGCATTCTCAGAAACTTCTCTGTGATGTTTGTGTTCAACTCCCAGAGTTTCACATTGCTTTTCATAGAGTAGTTCTGAAACATGCTTTTCGTAGTGTCTACAAGTGGACATTTGGAGCGCTTTCAGGCCTGTGGTGGAAAACGAATTATGGTCACATAAAAACTGGAGAGAAGCCTTCTCAGAAACTTCTCTGTGATGATTGCATTCAACTCACAGAGTTGAACCCTCCTATGGATAGAGCAGTGTTGAAACTCTCTTTTTGTGGAATCTGCAAGTGGATATGTGGACCTCTCCGAAGATGTCTTTGGAAACGGGAATATCTTCACATAAAAACTAAACAGAAGCATTCTCAGAAACTTCTTGGTGATGTTTGCATTCAAATCCCAGAGTTGAACCTTCCTTTGATAGTTCAGGTTTGAAACACTCTTTTTGTAGGATCTGCAAGTGGATATTTGGACCACTCTGTGGCCTTCGTTCGAAACGGGTATATCTTCGCATAAAATCTAGACAGAAAGCATTCTCAGAAAATACTTTGTGATGATTGAGTTGAACTCACAGAGCTGAACATTCCTTTGGATGGAGCAGGTTTGAGACACACTTTTTGTAGAATCTACAAGAGGATATTTGGACCTCTCTGAGGATTTCGTTGGAAACGGGATAACTGCACCTAACTAAACGGAAGCATTCTCAGAAACTGCTTTGTGATGATTGCATTCACCTCACAGAGTTGAACATTCCTATTGATAGAGCAGTTTGGAAACACTCTTGTTGTGGAATGTGCAAGTGGAGATTTGGAGCGCTTTGAGGTCTATGGTAGTAAAGGGAATAGCTTCATAGAAAAACTAGACAGATGCATTCTCAGGAACTTTTTGGTGATGTTTGTATTCAACTCCCAGAGTTGAACTTTCCTTTGGAAAGAGCAGCTATGAAACACTCTTTTTCTAGAATCTGCAAGTGGACGTTTGGAGGGCTTTGTGGTTTGTGGTGGAAAAGGAAATATCTTCACCTAAATACTAGATAGAGTCATTCTCAGTAAGCTTCTCTGTGATGACTGCATTCAACTCACGGAGTTGAACACTCCTTTTGAGAGCGCAGTTTTGAAACTCTCTTTCTGTGGCATCTGCAAGGGGACATGTAGACCTCTTTGAAGATTTCGTTGGAAACGGAATCATCTTCACATAAAAACTATACAGAAGCAGTCTCAGAATCTTCTTTGTGATGTTTGCATTCAAATCCCAGAGTTGAACTTTCCTTTCAAAGTTCACGTTTGAAACACTCTTTTTGCAGGATCTACAAGTGGATATTTGGACCACTCTGTGTCCTTCGTTCGAAACGGGTATATCTTTCACACGACATCTAGACAGAAGCTTTCTCAGAAAATTCTTTGGGATGATTGAGTGGAACTCACAGAGCTGAACATTCCTTGCGATGTAGCAGTTTAGAAACACACTTTCTGCAGAATCTGCAAGTGCATATTTGGACCTCTCTGAGGAATTCGTTGGAAACGGGATAATTTCAGCTGACTAAACAGAAGCATTCTCAGAACCTTCTTCGTGATGTGTGCATTCAACTCACAGTGTGGAACCTTTCTTTGATAGTTCAGGTTTGAAACACTCTTTTTGTAGAAACTGCAAGGGGATAATTGCACTTCTTTGAGGCCTACCGTAGTAAAGGAAATAACTTCCTATAGAAAGAAGACAGAAGCATTCTCAGAACCCTCTTCGTGATGTTTGCATTCAACTCACAGTGCTGAACCTTTCTTTGATAGTTCAGCTTTGAAACACTCTTCTTGTAGAAACTGCAAGTGGATATTTGGTCCTCTCTGAGGATTTCGTTGGAAACGGGATAAACCGCACAGAACTAAACAGAAGAATTCTCAGAGCCCTCTTCGTGATGTTTGCATTCAACTCACAGTGCTGAACCTTTCTTTGATAGTGCAGCTTTGAAACACTCTTTTTGTAGAAACTGCAAGTGGATGTTTGGTCCTCTCTGAGGATTTCGTTGGAAACGGGATAAACCGCACAGAACTAAAACAGAAGCATTGTCAGAAACTTCTTTGTGATGATTGCATTCAACTCACAGAGTTGAAGGTTCCTTTTCAAACAGCAGTTTCCAATCACTCTTTCTGTGGAATCTGCAAGTGGATATTTGGGCCTCTCTGAGGATTTCGTTGGAAACGGGATAAAACGCACAGAACTAAAACAGAAGCATTCTCAGAAACTTCTCTGTGATGTTTGTGTTCAACTCCCAGAGTTTCACGTTGCTTTTCATAGAGTAGTTCTGAAACATGCTTTTCGTAGTGTCTGCAAGTGGACATTTGGAGCGCTTTCAGGCCTGTGGTGGAAAACGAATTATGGTCACATAAAAACTGGAGAGAAGCCTTCTCAGAAACTTCTCTGTGATGATTGCATTCAACTCACAGAGTTGAACCCTCCTATGGATAGAGCATTGTTGAAACTCTCTTTTTGTGGAATCTGCAAGTGGATATGTGGACCTCTCCGAAGATGTCTTTGGAAACGGGAATATCTTCACATAAAAACTAAACAGAAGCATTCTCAGAAACTTCTTGGTGATGTTTGCATTCAAATCCCAGAGTTGAACCTTCCTTTGATAGTTCAGGTTTGAAACACTCTTTTTGTAGGATCTGCAAGTGGATATTTGGACCACTCTGTGGCCTTCGTTCGAAACGGGTACATCTTCGCATAAAATCTAGACAGAAGCATTCTCAGAAAATACTTTGTGATGATTGAGTTTAACTCACAGAGCTGAACATTCCTTTGGATGGAGCAGGTTTGAGACACACTTTTTGTAGAAACTACAAGTGGATATTTGGACCTCTCTGAGGATTTCGTTGGAAACGCGATAACTGCACCTAATTAAACGGAAGCATTCTCAGAAACTGCTTTGTGATGATTGCATTCACCTCACAGAGTTGAACATTCCTATTGATAGAGCAGTTTGGAAACACTCTTGTTGTGGAATGTGCAAGTGGAGATTTGGAGCGCTTTGAGGCCTATGGTAGTAAAGGGAATAGCTTCATAGAAAAACTAGACAGATGCATTCTCAGGAACTTTTTGGTGATGTTTGTATTCAACTCCCAAGAGTTGAACTTTCCTTTGGAAAGAGCAGCTATGAAACACTCTTTTTCTAGAATCTGCAAGTGGACGTTTGGAGGGCTTTGTGGTTTGTGGTGGAAAAGGAAATATCTTCACCTAAATACTAGATAGAAGCATTCTCAGAAGCTTCTCTGTGATGACTGCATTCAACTCACGGAGTTGAACACTCCTTTTGAGAGCGCAGTTTTGAAACTCTCTTTCTGTGGCATCTGCAAGGGGACATGTAGACCTCTTTGAAGATTTCGTTGGAAACGGAATCATCTTCACATAAAAACTATACAGAAGCAGTCTCAGAATCTTCTTTGTGATGTTTGCATTCAAATCCCAGAGTTGAACTTTCCTTTCAAAGTTCACGTTTGAAACACTCTTTTTGCAGGATCTACAAGTGGATATTTGGACCACTCTGTGTCCTTCGTTCGAAACGGGTATAACTTCACACGACATCTAGACAGAAGCTTTCTCAGAAAATTCTTTGGGATGATTGAGTGGAACTCACAGAGCTGAACATTCCTTGCGATGGAGCAGTTTAGAAACACACTTTCTGCAGAATCTGCAAGTGCATATTTGGACCTCTCTGAGGAATTCGTTGGAAACGGGATAATTTCAGCTGACTAAACAGAAGCATTCTCAGAACCTTCTTCGTGATGTCTGCATTCAACTCACAGTGTGGAACCTTTCTTTGATAGTTCAGGTTTGAAACACTCTTTTTGTAGAAACTGCAAGGGGATAATTGCACTTCTTTGAGGCCTACCGTAGTAAAGGAAATAACTTCCTATAGAAAGAAGACAGAAGCATTCTCAGAACCCTCTTCGTGATGTTTGCATTCAACTCACAGTGCTGAACCTTTCTTTGATAGTTCAGCTTTGAAACACTCTTCTTGTAGAAACTGCAAGTGGATATTTGGTCCTCTCTGAGGATTTCGTTGGAAACGGGATAAACCGCCCAGAACTAAACAGAAGCATTCTAAGAACCGTCCTCGTGATGTTTGCATTCAACTCACAGTGCTGAACCTTTCTTTGATAGTTCAGCTTTGAAACACTCTTTTTGTAGAAACTGCAAGTGGATACTTGGTCCTCTCTGAGGATTTCTTTGGAAAAGGGATAAACCGCACAGAACAAAACAGAAGCATTCACAGAAAACACTTGGTGACGACTGAGTTTAACTCACAGAGCTGAACATTCCTTTGGCGGGAGCAGTTTCGAAACACACTATTTGCAGAATCTGCAAGTGGATATTTGGGCCTCTCTGAGGATTTCGATGGAAACGGGATAAACCGCACAGAACTAAAACAGAAGCATTCTCAGAAACTACTTTGTGATGATTGCATTCAAGTCACAGAGCTGAACATTCCCTTTGACAGAGCAGTTTGGAAACTCTCTTTGTGTAGAATCTGCAAGTGGAGATATGGAATGCTTTGAGGACTATGGTAGTAAAGGAAATAGCTTCATATAAAAGCTAGACAGTAGCATTCTCAGAAACTTCTTTGTGATGCTTGCATTCAACTCACAGAGTTGAACTTTCCTTTCGAGAGAGAAGCTTTGAAACACTCTTTTTCCAGAATCTGCAAGTGGACATTTGGAGGGCTTTGAGGCCTGTGGTGGAAAAGGAATTATCTTCCCGTAAAAGCTAGATAGAAGCATTGTCAGAAACTTCTTTGTGATGATTGCATTCAACTCACAGAGTTGAAGGTTCCTTTTCAAACAGCAGTTTCCAATCACTCTTTCTGTGGAATCTGCAAGTGGATATTTGGGCCTCTCTGAGGATTTCGTTGGAAACGGGATAAAACGCACAGAACTAAAACAGAAGCATTCTCAGAAACTTCTCTGTGATGTTTGTGTTCAACTCCCAGAGTTTCACATTGCTTTTCATAGAGTAGTTCTGAAACATGCTTTTCGTAGTGTCTGCAAGTGTACATTTGGAGCGCTTTCAGGCCTGTGGTGGAAAACGAATTATGGTCACATAAAAACTGGAGAGAAAGCCTTCTCAGAAACTTCTCTGTGATGATTGCATTCAACTCACAGCAGTTGAACCCTCCTATGGATAGAGCAGTGTTGAAACTCTCTTTTTGTGGAATCTGCAAGTGGATATGTGGACCTCTCCGAAGATGTCTTTGGAAACGGGAATATCTTCACATAAAAACTAAACAGAAGCATTCTCAGAAACTTCTTGGTGATGTTTGCATTCAAATCCCAGAGTTGAACCTTCCTTTGATAGTTCAGGTTTGAAACACTCTTTTTGTAGGATCTGCAAGTGGATATTTGGACCACTCTGTGGCCTTCGTTCGAAACGGGTACATCTTCGCATAAAATCTAGACAGAAGCATTCTCAGAAAATACTTTGTGATGATTGAGTTTAACTCACAGAGCTGAACATTCCTTTGGATGGAGCAGGTTTGAGACACACTTTTTGTAGAATCTACAAGTGGATATTTGGACCTCTCTGAGGATTTCGTTGGAAACGGGATAACTGCACCTAACTAAACGGAAGCATTCTCAGAAACTGCTTTGTGATGATTGCATTCACCTCACAGAGTTGAACATTCCTATTGATAGAGCAGTTTGGAAACACTCTTGTTGTGGAATGTGCAAGTGGAGATTTGGAGTGCTTTGAGGCCTATGGTAGTAAAGGGAATAGCTTCATAGAAAAACTAGACAGATGCATTCTCAGGAACTTTTTGGTGATGTTTGTATTCAACTCCCAGAGTTGAACTTTCCTTTGGAAAGAGCAGCTATGAAACACTGTTTTTCTAGAATCTGCAAGTGGACGTTTGGAGGGCTTTGTGGTTTGTGGTGGAAAAGGAAATATCTTCACCTAAATACTAGATAGAAGCATTCTCAGAAGCTTCTCTGTGATGACTGCATTCAACTCACGGAGTTGAACACTCCTTTTGAGAGCGCAGTTTTGAAACTCTCTTTCTGTGGCATCTGCAAGGGGACATGTAGACCTCTTTGAAGATTTCGTTGGAAACGGAATCATCTTCACATCAAAACTATACAGAAGCAGTCTCAGAATCTTCTTTGTGATGTTTGCATTCAAATCCCAGAGTTGAACTTTCCTTTCCAAGTTCACGTTTGAAACACTCTTTTTGCAGGATCTGCAAGTGGATATTTGGACCACTCTGTGTCCTTCGTTCGAAACGGGTATATCTTCACATGACATCTAGACAGAAGCTTTCTCAGAAAATTCCTTGGGATGATTGAGTTGAGCAAACAGAGCTGAACACTCCTTGCGATGTAGCAGTTTAGAAACACACTTTCTGCAGAATCTGCAAGTGCATATGTGGACCTCTCTGAGGAAATCGTTGGAAACGGGATAATTTCAGCTGACTAAACAGAAGCATTCTCAGAACCTTCTTCGTGATGTCTGCATTCAACTCACAGTGTGGAACCTTTCTTTGACAGTTCAGGTTTGAAACACTCTTTTTGTAGAAACTGCAAGGGGATCATTGCACTTCTTTGAGGCCTACCGTAGTAAAGGAGATAACTTCCTATAAAAAGAAGACAGAAGAATTCTCAGAGCCCTCTTCGTGATGTTTGCATTCAACTCACAGTGCTGAACCTTTCTTTGATAGTGCAGCTTTGAAACACTCTTTTTGTAGAAACTGCAAGTGGATGTTTGGTCCTCTCTGAGGATTTCGTTGGAAACGGGATAAACCGCACAGAACTAAAACAGAAGCATTGTCAGGAAACTTCTTTGTGATGATTGCATTCAACTCACAGAGTTGAAGGTTCCTTTTCAAACAGCAGTTTCCAATCACTCTTTCTGTGGAATCTGCAAGTGGATATTTGGGCCTCTCTGAGGATTTCGTTGGAAACGGGATAAAACGCACAGAACTAAAACAGAAGCATTCTCAGAAACTTCTCTGTGATGTTTGTGTTCAACTCCCAGAGTTTCACATTGCTTTTCATAGAGTAGTTCTGAAACATGCTTTTCGTAGTGTCTACAAGTGGACATTTGGAGCGCTTCCAGGCCTGTGGTGGAAAACGAATTATGGTCACATAAAAACTGGAGAGAAGCCTTCTCAGAAACTTCTCTGTGATGATTGCATTCAACTCACAGAGTTGAACCCTCCTATGGATAGAGCAGTGTTGAAACTCTCTTTTTGTGGAATCTGCAAGTGGATATGTGGACCTCTCCGAAGATGTCTTTGGAAACGGGAATATCTTCACATAAAAACTAAACAGAAGCATTCTCAGAAACTTCTTGGTGATGTTTGCATTCAAATCCCAGAGTTGAACCTTCCTTTGACAGTTCAGGTTTGAAACACTCTTTTTGTAGGATCTGCAAGTGGATATTTGGACCACTCTGTGGCCTTCATTCGAAACGGGTACATCTTCGCATAAAATCTAGACAGAAGCATTCTCAGAAAATACTTTGTGATGATTGAGTTTAACTCACAGAGCTGAACATTCCTTTGGATGGAGCAGGTTTGAGACACACTTTTTGTAGAATCTACAAGTGGATATTTGGACCTCTCTGAGGATTTCGTTGGAAACGGGATAACTGCACCTAACTAAACGGAAGCATTCTCAGAAACTGCTTTGTGATGATTGCATTCACCTCACAGAGTTGAACATTCCTATTGATAGAGCAGTTTGGAAACACTCTTGTTGTGGAATGTGCAAGTGGAGATTTGGAGCGCTTTGAGGCCTATGGTAGTAAAGGGAATAGCTTCATAGAAAAACTAGACAGATGCATTCTCAGGAACTTTTTGGTGATGTTTGTATTCAACTCCCAGAGTTGAACTTTCCTTTGGAAAGAGCAGCTATGAAACACTCTTTTTCTAGAATCTGCAAGTGGACGTTTGGAGGGCTTTGTGGTTTGTGGTGGAAAAGGAAATATCTTCACCTAAATACTAGAGAGAAGCATTCTCAGAAGCTTCTCTGTGATGACTGCATTCAACTCACGGAGTTGAACACTCCTTTTGAGAGCGCAGTTTTGAAACTCTCTTTCTGTGGCATCTGCAAGGGGACATGTAGACCTCTTTGAAGATTTCGTTGGAAACGGAATCATCTTCACATAAAAACTATACAGAAGCAGTCTCAGAATCTTCTTTGTGATGTTTCGCATTCAAATCCCAGAGTTGAACTTTCCTTTCCAAGTTCACGTTTGAAACACTCTTTTTGCAGGATCTACAAGTGGATATTTGGACCACTCTGTGTCCTTCGTTCGAAACGGGTATATCTTCACATGACATCTAGACAGAAGCTTTCTCAGAAAATTCTTTGGGATGATTGAGTGGAACTCACAGAGCTGAACATTCCTTGCGATGTAGCAGTTTAGAAACACACTTTCTGCAGAATCTGCAAGTGCATATTTGGACCTCTCTGAGGAATTCGTTGGAAACGGGATAATTTCAGCTGACTAAACAGAAGCATTCTCAGAACCTTCTTCGTCATGTCTGCATTCAACTCACAGTGTGGAACCTTTCTTTGATAGTTCAGGTTTGAAACACTCTTTTTGTAGAAACTGCAAGGGGATAATTGCACTTCTTTGAGGCCTACCGTAGTAAAGGAAATAACTTCCTATAGAAAGAAGACAGAAGCATTCTCAGAACCCTCTTCGTGATGTTTGCATTCAACTCACAGTGCTGAACCTTTCTTTGATAGTTCAGCTTTGAAACACTCTTCTTGTAGAAACTGCAAGTGGATATTTGGTCCTCTCTGAGGATTTCGTTGGAAACGGGATAAACCGCACAGAACTAAACAGAAGAATTCTCAGTAGCCCTCTTCGTGATGTTTGCATTCAACTCACAGTGCTGAACCTTTCTTTGATAGTGCAGCTTTGAAACACTCTTTTTGTAGAAACTGCAAGTGGATGTTTGGTCCTCTCTGAGGATTTCGTTGGAAACGGGATAAACCGCACAGAACTAAAACAGAAGCATTCACAGAAAACTCTTGTTGACGACTGAGTTTAACTCACAGAGCTGAACATTCCTTTGGATGGAGCAGTTTCGAAACACACTATCTGTAGAATGTGCAAGTGGATATTTGGGCCTCTCTGAGGATTTCGTTGGAAACGGGATAAACCGCACAGAACTAAACAGAAGCATTCTCAGAAACTACTTTGTGATGATTGCATTCAAGTCACAGAGTTGAACATTCCCTTTGACAGAGCAGTTTGGAAACTCTCTTTGTGTAGAATCTGCAAGTGGAGATATGGACCGCTTTGAGGCCTATGGTAGTAAAGGAAATAGCTTCATATAAAAGCTAGACAGTAGCATTCTCAGAAACTTCTTTGTGATGCTTGCATTCAACTCACAGAGTTGAACTTTCCTTTCGAGAGAGAAGCTTTGAAACACTCTTTTTCCAGAATGTGCAAGTGGACATTTGGAGGGCTTTGAGGCCTGTGGTGGAAAAGGAATTATCTTCCCGTAAAAGCTAGATAGAAGCATTGTCAGAAACTTCTTTGTGATGATTGCATTCAACTCACAGAGTTGAAGGTTCCTTTTCAAACAGCAGTTTCCAATCACTCTTTCTGTGGAATCTGCAAGTGGATATTTGGGCCTCTCTGAGGATTTCGTTGGAAACGGGATAAAACGCACAGAACTAAAACAGAAGCATTCTCAGAAACTTCTCTGTGATGTTTGTGTTCAACTCCCCAGAGTTTCACGTTGCTTTTCATAGAGTAGTTCTGAAACATGCTTTTCGTAGTGTCTGCAAGTGGACATTTGGAGCGCTTTCAGGCCTGTGGTGGAAAACGAATTATGGTCACATAAAAACTGGAGAGAAGCCTTCTCAGAAACTTCTCTGTGATGATTGCATTCAACTCACAGAGTTGAACCCTCCTATGGATAGAGCAGTGTTGAAACTCTCTTTTTGTGGAATCTGCAAGTGGATATGTGGACCTCTCCGAAGATGTCTTTGGAAACGGGAATATCTTCACATAAAAACTAAACAGAAGCATTCTCAGAAACTTCTTGGTGATGTTTGCATTCAAATCCCAGAGTTGAACCTTCCTTTGATAGTTCAGGTTTGAAACACTCTTTTTGTAGGATCTGCAAGTGGCTATTTGGACCACTCTGTGGCCTTCGTTCGAAACTGGTATATCTTCGCATAAAATCTAGACAGAAGCATTCTCAGAAAATACTTTGTGATGATTGAGTTTAAATCACAGAGCTGACCATTCCTTTGGATGGAGCAGGTTTGAGACACACTTTTTGTAGAATCTACAAGTGGATATTTGGACCTCTCTGAGGATTTCGTTGGAAACGGGATAACTGCACCTAACTAAACGGAAGCATTCTCAGAAACTGCTTTGTGATGATTGCATTCACCTCACAGAGTTGAACATTCCTATTGATAGAGCAGTTTGGAAACACTCTTGTTGTGGAATGTGCAAGTGGAGATTTGGAGCGCTTTGAGGCCTATGGTAGTAAAGGGAATAGCTTCATAGAAAAAATTGACAGATGCATTCTCAGGAACTTTTTGGTGATGTTTGTATTCAACTCCCAGAGTTGAACTTTCCTTTGGAAAGAGCAGCTATGAAACACTCTTTTTCTAGAATCTGCAAGTGGACGTTTGGAGGGCTTTGTGGTTTGTGGTGGAAAAGGAAATATCTTCACCTAAATACTAGATAGAAGCATTCTCAGAAGCTTCTCTGTGATGACTGCATTCAACTCACGGAGTTGAACACTCCTTTTGAGAGCGTAGTTTTGAAACTCTCTTTCTGTGGCATCTGCAAGGGGACATGTAGACCTCTTTGAAGATTTCGTTGGAAACGGAATCATCTTCACATAAAAACTATACAGAAGCAGTCTCAGAATCTTCTTTGTGATGTTTGCATTCAAATCCCAGAGTTGAACTTTCCTTTCCAAGTTCACGTTTGAAACACTCTTTTTGCAGGACCTACAAGTGGATATTTGGACCACTCTGTGTCCTTCGTTCGAAACGGGTATATCTTCACATGACATCTAGACAGAAGCTTTCTCAGAAAATTCTTTGGGATGATTGAGTTGAGCAAACAGAGCTGAACACTCCTTGCGATGTAGCAGTTTAGAAACACACTTTCTGCAGAATCTGCTAGTGCATATGTGGACCTCTCTGAGGAATTCGTTGGAAACGGGATAATTTCAGCTGACTAAACAGAAGCATTCTCAGAACCTTCTTCGTGATGTCTGCATTCAACTCACAGTGTGGAACCTTTCTTTGATAGTTCAGGTTTGAAACACTCTTTTTGTAGAAACTGCAAGGGGATCATTGCACTTCTTTGAGGCCTACCGTAGTAAAGGAGATAACTTCCTATAAAAAGAAGACAGAAGCATTCTCAGAACCCTCTTCATGATGTTTGCATTCAACTGACGGTGCTGAACCTTTCTTTGATAGTCCAGCTTTGAAACACTCTTTTTGTAGAAACTGCAAGTGGATATTTGGTCCTCTCTGAGGATTTCGTTGGAAACGGGATAAACCGCACAGAACTAAACAGAAGCATTCTCAGAACCTTCTTCGTGATGTTTGCATTCAACTCACAGTGTTGAACCTTTCTTTGATAGTTCAGGTTGGAAACGGTCTTTCTGTAGAAACTGCAAGTAGATATTTGGACCTCTCTGAGGATTTCGTTGGAAACGGGATAAACCGCACAGAACTAAAACAGAAGCATTCACAGAAAACTCTTGGTGACGACTGAGTTTAACTCACAGAGCTGAACATTCCTTTGGATGGAGCAGTTTCGAAACACACTATTTGTAGAATGTGCAAGTGGATATGTGGGCCTCTCTGAGGATTTCGTTGGAAACGGGATAAACCGCACAGAACTAAACAGAAGCATTCTCAGAAACTACTTTGTGATGATTGCATTCAAGTCACAGAGTTGAACATTCCCTTTGACAGAGCAGTTTGGAAACTCTCTTTGTGTGGAATCTGGAAGTGGAGATATGGACCGCTTTGAGGCCTATGGTAGTAAAGGAAATAGCTTCATATAAAAGCTAGACAGTAGCATTCTCAGAAACTTCTTTGTGATGCTTGCATTCAACTCACAGAGTTGAACTTTCCTTTCGAGAGAGAAGCTTTGAAACACTCTTTTTCCAGAATCTGCAAGTGGACATTTGGAGGGCTTTGAGGCCTGTGGTGGAAAAGGAATTATCTTCCCGTAAAAGGTAGATAGAAGCATTGTCAGAAACTTCTTTGTGATGATTGCATTCAACTCACAGAGTTGAAGGTTCCTTTTCAAAGAGCAGTTTCCAATCACTCTTTCTGTGGAATCTGCAAGTGGATATTTGGACCTCTTTGAAGATTTCGTTGGAAACGGGAGAATCTTCACAGAAAAGCTAAACAGAAGCATTCTCAGAAACTTCTCTGTGATGTTTGTGTTCAACTCCCAGAATTTCAGATTGCCTTTCATAGAGTAGTTCTGAAACATGCTTTTCGTAGTGTCTGCAAGTGGACATTTGGAGCGCTTTCAGGCCTGTGGTGGAAAACGATTTATGGTCCCATAAAACCTGGAGAGAAGCCTTCTCAGAAACTTCTCTGTGATGATTGCATTCAACTCACAGAGTTGAACCCTCCTATGGATAGAGCAGTGTTGAAACTCTCTTTTTGTGGAATCTGCAAGTGGATATGTGGACCTCTCCGAAGATGTCTTTGGAAACGGGAATATCTTCACATAAAAACTAAACAGAAGCATTCTCAGAAACTTCTTGGTGATGTTTGCATTCAAATCCCAGAGGTGAACCTTCCTTTGATAGTTCAGGTTTGAAACACTCTTTTTGTAGGATCTGCAAGTGGCTATTTAGACCACTCTGTGGCCTTCGTTCGAAACGGGTATATCTTCGCATAAAATCTAGACAGAAGCATTCTCAGAAAATACTTTGTGATGATTGAGTTGAACTCACAGAGCTGAACATTCCTTTGGATGGAGCAGGTTTGAGACACACTTTTTGTAGAATCTACAAGTGGATATTTGGACCTCTCTGAGGATTTCATTGGAAACGGGATAACTGCACCTAACTAAACGGAAGCATTCTCAGAAACTGCTTTGTGATGATTGCATTCACCTCACAGAGTTGAACATTCCTATTGATAGAGCAGTTTGGAAACACTCTTGTTGTGGAATGTGCAAGTGGAGATTTGGAGCGCTTTGAGGCCTGTGGTAGTAAAGGGAATAGCTTCATAGAAAAACTAGACAGATGCATTCTCAGGAACCTTTTGGTGATGTTTGTATTCAACTCCCAGAGTTGAACTTTCCTTTGGAAAGAGCAGCTATGAAACACTCTTTTTCTAGAATCTGCAAGTGGACGTTTGGAGGGCTTTGTGGTTTGTGGTGGAAAAGGAAATATCTTCACCTAAATACTAGATAGAAGCATTCTCAGAAGCTTCTCTGTGATGACTGCATTCAACTCACGGAGTTGAACACTCCTTTTGAGAGCGCAGTTTTGAAACTCTCTTTCTGTGGCATCTGCAAGGGGACATGTAGACCTCTTTGAAGATTTCGTTGGAAACGGAATCATCTTCACATAAAAACTATACAGAAGCAGTCTCAGAATCTTCTTTGTGATGTTTGCATTCAAATCCCAGAGTTGAACTTTCCTTTCAAAGTTCACGTTTGAAACACTCTTTTTGCAGGATCTACAAGTGGATATTTGGACCACTCTGTGTCCTTCGTTCGAAACGGGTATAACTTCACACGACATCTAGACAGAAGCTTTCTCAGAAAATTCTTTGGGATGATTGAGTGGAACTCACAGAGCTGAACATTCCTTGCGATGGAGCAGTTTAGAAACACACTTTCTGCAGAATCTGCAAGTGCATATTTGGACCTCTCTGAGGAATTCGTTGGAAACGGGATAATTTCAGCTGACTAAACAGAAGCATTCTCAGAACCTTCTTCGTGATGTCTGCATTCAACTCACAGTGTGGAACCTTTCTTTGATAGTTCAGGTTTGAAACACTCTTTTTGTAGAAACTGCAAGGGGATAATTGCACTTCTTTGAGGCCTACTGTAGTAAAGGAAATAACTTCCTATAGAAAGAAGACAGAAGCATTCTCAGAACCCTCTTCGTGATGTTTGCATTCAACTCACAGTGCTGAACCTTTCTTTGATAGTTCAGCTTTGAAACACTCTTCTTGTAGAAACTGCAAGTGGATATTTGGTCCTCTCTGAGGATTTCGTTGGAAACGGGATAAACCGCACAGAACTAAACAGAAGAATTCTCAGAGCCCTCTTCGTGATGTTTGCATTCAACTCACAGTGCTGAACCTTTCTTTGATAGTGCAGCTTTGAAACACTCCTTTTGTAGAAACTGCAAGTGGATATTTGGTCCTCTCTGAGGATTTCGTTGGAAACGGGATAAACCGCACAGCACTAAAACAGAAGCATTGTCAGAAACTTCTTTGTGATGATTGCATTCAACTCACAGAGTTGAAGGTTCCTTTTCAAACAGCAGTTTCCAATCACTCTTTCTGTGGAATCTGCAAGTGGATATTTGGGCCTCTCTGAGGATTTCGTTGGAAACGGGATAAAACCCACAGAACTAAAACAGAAGCATTCTCAGAAACTTCTCTGTGATGTTTGTGTTCAACTCCCAGAGTTTCACATTCCTTCTCATAGTGTAGTTCTGAAACATGCTTTTCGTAGTGTCTGCAAGTGGACATTTGGAGCGCTTTCAGGCCTGTGGTGGAAAACGAATTATGGTCACATAAAAACTGGAGAGAAGACTTCTCAGAAACTTCTCCGTGATGATTGCATTCAACTCACAGAGTTGAACCCTCCTATGGATAGAGCAGTGTTGAAATTCTCTTTTTGTGGAATCTGGAAGTGGATATGTGGACCTCTCCGAAGATGTCTTTGGAAACGGGAATATCTTCACATAAAAACTAAACAGAAGCATTCTCAGAAACTTCTTGGTGATGTTTGCATTCAAATCCCAGAGTTGAACCTTCCTTTGAGAGTTCAGGTTTGAAACACTCTTTTTGTAGGATCTGCAAGTGGATATTTGGACCACTCTGTGGCCTTCGTTCGAAACGGGTACATCTTCGCATAAAATCTAGACAGAAGCATTCTCAGAAAATACTTTTTGATGATTGAGTTTAACTCACAGAGCTGAACATTCCTTTGGATGGAGCAGGTTTGAGACACACTTTTTATAGAATCTACAAGTGGATATTTGGACCTCTCTGAGGACTTCGTTGGAAACGGGATAACTGCACCTAACTAAACGGAAGCATTCTCAGAAACTGCTTTGTGATGATTGCATTCACCTCACAGAGTTGACCATTCCTATTGATAGAGCAGTTTGGAAACACTCTTGTTGTGGAATGTGCAAGTGCAGATTTGGAGCGCTTTGAGGCCTATGGTAGTAAAGGGAATAGCTTCATAGAAAAACTAGACAGATGCATTCTCAGGAACTTTTTGGTGATGTTTGTATTCAACTCCCAGAGTTGAACTTTCCTTTGGAAAGAGCAGCTATGAAACACTCTTTTTCTAGAATCTGCAAGTGGACGTTTGGAGGGCTTTGTGGTTTGTGGTGGAAAAGGAAATATCTTCACCTAAATACTAGATAGAAGCATTCTCAGAAGCTTCTCTGTGATGACTGCATTCAACTCACGGAGTTGAACACTCCTTTTGAGAGCGCAGTTTTGAAACTCTCTTTCTGTGGCATCTGCAAGGGGACATGTAGACCTCTTTGAAGATTTCGTTGGAAACGGAATCATCTTCACATAAAAACTATACAGAAGCAGTCTCAGAATCTTCTTTGTGATGTTTGCATTCAAATCCCAGAGTTGAACTTTCCTTTCAAAGTTCACGTTTGAAACACTCTTTTTGCAGGATCTACAAGTGGATATTTGGACCACTCTGTGTCCTTCGTTCGAAACGGGTATATCTTCACACGACATCTAGACAGAAGCTTTCTCAGAAAATTCTTTGGGATGATTGAGTTGAACTCACAGAGCTGAACATTCCTTGCGATGTAGCAGTTTAGAAACACACTTTCTGCAGAATCTGCAAGTGCATATTTGGACCTCTCTGAGGAATTCGTTGGAAACGGGATAATTTCAGCTGACTAAACAGAAGCATTCTCAGAACCTTCTTCGTGATGTCTGCATTCAACTCACAGTGTGGAACCTTTCTTTGATAGTTCAGGTTTGAAACACTCTTTCTGTAGAAACTGCAAGGGGATAATTGCACTCTTTGAGGAGTACCGTAGTAAAGGAAATAACTTCCTATAAAAAGAAGACAGAAGCATTCACAGAAAACTCTTGGTGACGACTGAGTTTAACTCACAGAGCTGAACATTCCTTTGGATGGAGCAGTTTCGAAACACACTATTTGTAGAATGTGCAAGTGGATATTTAGGCCTCTCTGAGGATTTCGTTGGAAACGGGATAAACCGCACAGAACTAAACAGAAGCATTCTCAGAAACTACTTTGTGATGATTGCATTCAAGTCACAGAGTTGAACATTCCCTTTGACAGAGCAGTTTGGAAACTCTCTTTGTGTAGAATCTGCAAGTGGAGATATGGACCGCTTTGAGGCCTATGGTAGTAAAGGAAATAGCTTCATATAAAAGCTAGACAGTAGCATTCTCAGAAACTTCTCTGTGATGTTTGTGTTCAACTCCCAGAGTTTCACGTTGCTTTTCATAGAGTAGTTCTGAAACATGCTTTTCGTAGTGTCTGCAAGTGGACATTTGGGGAGCTTTGAGGCCTGTGGTGGAAAAGGAATTATCTTCCCGTAAGAGCTAGATAGAAGCCTTCTCAGAAACTTCTCTGTGATGATTGCATTCAACTCACAGAGTTGAACCCTCCTATGGATAGAGCAGTGTTGAAACTCTCTTTTTGTGGAATCTGCAAGTGGATATGTGGACCTCTCCGAAGATGTCTTTGGAAACGGGAATATCTTCACATAAAAACTAAACAGAAGCATTCTCAGAAACTTCTTGGTGATGTTTGCATTCAAATCCCAGAGTTGAACCTTCCTTTGATAGTTCAGCTTTGAAACACTCTTTTTGTAGGATCTGCAAGTGGCTATTTGGACCACTCTGTGGCCTTCGTTCGAAACGGGTATATCTTCGCATAAAATCTAGACAGAGGCATTCTCAGAAAATACTTTGTGATGATTGAGTTTAAATCACAGAGCTGAACATTCCTTTGGATGGAGCAGGTTTGAGACACACTTTTTGTAGAATCTACAAGTGGATATTTGGACCTCTCTGAGGATTTCGTTGGAAACGGGATAACTGCACCTAACTAAACGGAAGCATTCTCAGAAACTGCTTTGTGATGATTGCATTCACCTCACAGAGTTGAACATTCCTATTGATAGAGCAGTTTGGAAACACTCTTGTTGTGGAATGTGCAAGTGGAGATTTGGAGCGCTTTGAGGCCTGTGGTAGTAAAGGGAATAGCTTCATAGAAAAACTAGACAGATGCATTCTCAGGAACTTTTTGGTGATGTTTGTATTCAACTCCCAGAGTTGAACTTTCCTTTGGAAAGAGCAGCTATGAAACACTCTTTTTCTAGAATCTGCAAGTGGACGTTTGGAGGGCTTTGTGGTTTGTGGTGGAAAAGGAAATATCTTCACCTAAATACTAGATAGAAGCATTCTCAGAAGCTTCTCTGTGATGACTGCATTCAACTCACGGAGTTGAACACTCCTTTTGAGAGCGCAGTTTTGAAACTCTCTTTCTGTGGCATCTGCAAGGGGACATGTAGACCTCTTTGAAGATTTCGTTGGAAACGGAATCATCTTCACATAAAAACTATACAGAAGCAGTCTCAGAATCTTCTTTGTGATGTTTGCATTCAAATCCCAGAGTTGAACTTTCCTTTCAAAGTTCACGTTTGAAACACTCTTTTTGCAGGATCTACAAGTGGATATTTGGACCACTCTGTGTCCTTCGTTCGAAACGGGTATATCTTCACACGACATCTAGACAGAAGCTTTCTCAGAAAATTCTTTGGGATGATTGAGTTGAACTCACAGAGCTGAGCATTCCTTGCGATGTAGCAGTTTAGAAACACACTTTCTGCAGAATCTGCAAGTGCATATTTGGACCTCTGTGAGGAATTCGTTGGAAACGGGATAATTTCAGCTGACTAAACAGAAGCATTCTCAGAACCTTCTTCGTGATGTCTGCATTCAACTCACAGTGTGGAACCTTTCTTTGATAGTTCAGGTTTGAAACACTCTTTTTGTAGAAACTGCAAGGGGATAATTGCACTCTTTGAGGAGTACCGTAGTAAAGGAAATAACTTTCTCTAAAAAGAAGACAGAAGCATTCTCAGAACCCTCTTCGTGATGTTTGCATTCAACTCACAGTGCTGAACCTTTCTTTGATAGTTCAGCTTTGAAACACTCTTCTTGTAGAAACTGCAAGTGGATATTTGGTCCTTTCTGAGGATTTCGTTGGAAACGGGATAAACCGCACAGAACTAAACAGAAGCATTCTCAGAACCTTCTTCGTGATGTTTGCATTCAACTCACAGTGTTGAACCTTTCTTTGATAGTTCAGGTTTGAAACGGTCTTTCTGTAGAAACTGCAAGTAGATATTTGGACCTCTCTGAGGATTTCGTTGGAAACGGGATAACCCGCACAGAACTAAAACAGAAGCATTCAGAGAAAACTCTTGGTGACGACTGAGTTTAACTCACAGAGCTGAACATCCCTTTGGATGGAGCAGTTTCGAAACACACTATTTGTAGAATGTGCAAGTGGATATTTGGGCCTCTCTGAGGATTTCGTTGGAAACGGGATAAACCGCACAGAACTAAACAGAAGCATTCTCAGAAACTACTTTTTGATGATTGCATTCAAGTCACAGAGTTGAACATTCCCTTTGACAGAGCAGTTTGGAAACTCTCTTTGTGTAGAATCTGCAAGTGGAGATATAGACCGCTTTGAGGACTATGGTAGTAAAGGAAATAGCTTCATATAAAAGCTAGACAGTAGCATTCTCAGAAACTTCTTTGTGATGCTTGCATTCAACTCACAGAGTTGAACTTTCCTTTCGAGAGAGAAGCTTTGAAACACTCTTTTTCCAGAATCTGCAAGTGGACATTTGGAGGGCTTTGAGGCCTGTGGTGGAAAAGGAATTATCTTCCCGTAAAAGCTAGATAGAAGCATTGTCAGAAACTTCTTTGTGATGATTGCATTCAACTCACAGAGTTGAAGGTTCCTTTTCAAAGAGCAGTTTCCAATCACTCTTTCTGTGGAATCTGCAAGTGGATATTTGGACCTATTTTGAAGATTTCGTTGGAAACGGGAGAATCTTCACAGGAAAGCTAAACAGAAGCATTCTCAGAAACTTCTCTGTGATGTTTGTGTTCAACTCCCAGAGTTTCACATTGCTTTTCATAGAGTAGTTCTGAAACATGCTTTTCGTAGTGTCTACAAGTGGACATTTGGAGCGCTTTCAGGCCTGTGGTGGAAAACGAATTATGGTCACATAAAAACTGGAGAGAAGCCTTCTCAGAAACTTCTCTGTGATGATTGCATTCAACTCACAGAGTTGAACCCTCCTATGGATAGAGCAGTGTTGAAACTCTCTTTTTGTGGAATCTGCAAGTGGATATGTGGACCTCTCCGAAGATGTCCTTTGGAAACGGGAATATCTTCACATAAAAACTAAACAGAAGCATTCTCAGAAACTTCTTGGTGATGTTTGCATTCAAATCCCAGAGTCGAACCTTCCTTTGATAGTTCAGGTTTGAAACACTCTTTTTGTAGGATCTGCAAGTGGATATTTGGACCACTCTGTGGCCTTCGTTCGAAACGGGTATATCTTCGCATAAAATCTAGACAGAAGCATTCTCAGAAAATACTTTGTGATGATTGAGTTTAATTCACAGAGCTGAACATTCCTTTGGATGGAGCAGGTTTGAGACACACTTTTTGTAGAATCTACAAGTGGATATTTGGATCTTTCTGAGGATTTCATTGGAAACGGGATAACTGCACCTAACTAAACGGAAGCATTCTCAGCAAACTGCTTTGTGATGATTGCATTCACCTCACAGAGTTGAACATTCCTATTGATAGAGCAGTTTGGAAACACTCTTGTTGTGGAATGTGCAAGTGGAGATTTGGAGCGCTTTGAGGCCTATGGTAGTAAAGGGAATAGCTTCATAGAAAAACTAGACAGATGCATTCTCAGGAACTTTTTGGTGATGTTTGTATTCAACTCCCAGAGTTGAACTTTCCTTTGGAAAGAGCAGCTATGAAACACTCTTTTTCTAGAATCTGCAAGTGGACGTTTGGAGGGCTTTGTGGTTTGTGGTGGAAAAGGAAATATCTTCACCTAAATACTAGATAGAAGCATTCTCAGAAGCTTCTCTGTGATGACTGCTTTCAACTCACGGAGTTGAACACTCCTTTTGAGAGCGCAGTTTTGAAACTCTCTTTCTGTGGCATCCGCAAGGGGACATGTGGACCTCTTTGAAGATTTCGTTGGAAACGGAATCATCTTCACATAAAAACTATACAGAAGCAGTCTCAGAATCTTCTTTGTGATGTTTGCATTCAAATCCCAGAGTTGAACTTTCCTTTCAAAGTTCACGTTTGAAACACTCTTTTTGCAGGATCTACAAGTGGATATTTGGACCACTCTGTGTCCTTCGTTCGAAACGGGTATATCTTCACACGACATCTAGACAGAAGCTTTCTCAGAAAATTCTTTGGGATGATTGAGTGGAACTCACAGAGCTGAACATTCCTTGCGATGTAGCAGTTTAGAAACACACTTTCTGCAGAATCTGCAAGTGCATATTTGGACCTCTCTGAGGAATTCGTTGGAAACGGGATAATTTCAGCTGACTAAACAGAAGCATTCTCAGAACCTTCTTCGTGATGTCTGCATTCAACTCACAGTGTGGAACCTTTCTTTGATAGTTCAGGTGTGAAACACTCTTTTTGTAGAAACTGCAAGGGGATAATTGCACTTCTTTGAGGCCTACCGTAGTAAAGGAAATAACTTCCTATAGAAAGAAGACAGAAGCATTCTCAGAACCCTCTTCGTGATGTTTGCATTCAACTCACAGTGCTGAACCTTTCTTTGATAGTTCAGCTTTGAAACACTCTTCTTGTAGAAACTGCAAGTGGATATTTGGTCCTCTCTGAGGATTTCGTTGGAAACGGGATAAACCGCACAGAACTAAACAGAAGCATTCTCAGAGCCCTCTTCGTGATGTTTGCATTCAACTCACAGTGCTGAACCTTTCTTTGATAGTGCAGCTTTGAAACACTCTTTTTGTAGAAACTGCAAGTGGATATTTGGTCCTCTCTGAGGATTTCGTTGGAAACGGGATAAGCCGCACAGAACTAAAACAGAAGCATTGTCAGAAACTTCTTTGTGATGATTGCATTCAACTCACAGAGTTGAAGGTTCCTTTTCAAACAGCAGTTTCCAATCACTCTTTCTGTGGAATCTGCAAGTGGATATTTGGGCCTCTCTGAGGATTTCGTTGGAAACGGGATAAAACGCACAGAACTAAAACAGAAGCATTCTCAGAAACTTCTCTGTGATGTTTGTGTTCAACTCCCCAGAGTTTCACGTTGCTTTTCATAGAGTAGTTCTGAAACATGCTTTTCGTAGTGTCTGCAAGTGGACATTTGGAGCGCTTTCAGGCCTGTGGTGGAAAACGAATTATGGTCACATAAAAACTGGAGAGAAGCCTTCTCAGAAACTTCTCTGTGATGATTGCATTCAACTCACAGAGTTGAACCCTCCTATGGATAGAGCAGTGTTGAAACTCTCTTTTTGTGGAATCTGCAAGTGGATATGTGGACCTCTCCGAAGATGTCTTTGGAAACGGGAATATCTTCACATAAAAACTAAACAGAAGCATTCTCAGAAACTTCTTGGTGATGTTTGCTTTCAAATCCCAGAGTTGAACCTTCCTTTGATAGTTTAGGTTTGAAACACTCTTTTTGTAGGATCTGCAAGTGGATATTTGGACCACTCTGTGGCCTTCGTTCGAAACGGGTACATCTTCGCATAAAATCTAGACAGAAGCATTCTCAGAAAATACTTTGTGATGATTGAGTTGAACTCACAGAGCTGAACATTCCTTTGGATGGAGCAGGTTTCAGACACACTTTTTGTAGAATCTACAAGTGCATATTTGGACCTCTCTGAGGATTTCGTTGGAAACGGGGTAACTGCACCTAACTAAACGGAAGCATTCTCAGAAACTGCTTTGTGATGATTGCATTCACCTCACAGAGTTGAACATTCCTATTGATAGAGCAGTTTGGAAACACTCTTGTTGTGGAATGTGCAAGTGGAGATTTGGAGCGCTTTGAGGCCTATGGTAGTAAAGGGAATAGCTTCATAGAAAAACTAGACAGATGCATTCTCAGGAACTTTTTGGTGATGTTTGTATTCAACTCCCAGAGTTGAACTTTCCTTTGGAAAGAGCAGCTATGAAACACTCTTTTTCTAGAATCTGCAAGTGGACGTTTGGAGGGCTTTGTGGTTTGTGGTGGAAAAGGAAATATCTTCACCTAAATACTAGAGAGAAGCATTCTCAGAAGCTTCTCTGTGATGACTGCATTCAACTCACGGAGTTGAACACTCCTTTTGAGAGCGCAGTTTTGAAACTCTCTTTCTGTGGCATCTGCAAGGGGACATGTAGACCTCTTTGAAGATTTCATTGGAAACGGAATCATCTTCACATAAAAACTATACAGAAGCAGTCTCAGAATCTTCTTTGTGATGTTTGCATTCAAATCCCAGAATTGAACTTTACTTTAAAGTTCACGTTTGAAACACTCTTTTTGCAGGATCTACAAGTGGATATTTGGACCACTCTGTGTCCTTCGTTCGAAACGGGTATATCTTCACATGACATCTAGACAGAAGCTTTCTCAGAAAATTCTTTGGGATGATTGAGTGGAACTCACAGAGCTGAACATTCCTTGCGATGTAGCAGTTTAGAAACACACTTTCTGCAGAATCTGCAAGTGCATATTTGGACCTCTCTGAGGAATTCGTTGGAAACGGGATAATTTCAGCTGACTAAACAGAAGCATTCTCAGAACCTTCTTCGTGATGTCTGCATTCAACTCACAGTGTGGAAACTTTCTTTGATAGTTCAGGTTTGAAACACTCTTTTTGTAGAAACTGCAAGGGGATAATTGCACTTCTTTGAGGCCTACCGTAGTAAAGGAAATAACTTCCTATAAAAAGAAGACAGAAGCATTCTCAGAACCCTCTTCGTGATGTTTGCATTCAACTCACAGTGCTGAACCTTTCTTTGATAGTTCAGCTTTGAAACACTCTTCTTGTAGAAACTGCAAGTGGATATTTGGTCCTCTCTGAGGATTTCGTTGGAAACGGGATAAACCGCACAGAACTAAACAGAAGAATTCTCAGAGCCCTCTTCGTGATGTTTGCATTCAACTCACAGTGCTGAACCTTTCTTTGATAGTGCAGCTTTGAAACACTCTTTTTGTAGAAACTGCAAGTGGATGTTTGGTCCTCTCTGAGGATTTCGTTGGAAACGGGATAAACCGCACAGAACTAAAACAGAAGCATTGTCAGAAACTTCTTTGTGATGATTGCATTCAACTCACAGAGTTGAAGGTTCCTTTTCAAACAGCAGTTTCCAATCACTCTTTCTGTGGAATCTGCAAGTGGATATTTGGGCCTCTCTGAGGATTTCGTTGGAAACGGGATAAAACGCACAGAACTAAAACAGAAGCATTCTCAGAAACTTCTCTGTGATGTTTGTGTTCAACTCCCAGAGTTTCACGTTGCTTTTCATAGAGTAGTTCTGAAACATGCTTTTCGTAGTGTCTGCAAGTGGACATTTGGAGCGCTTTCAGGCCTGTGGTGGAAAACGAATTATGGTCACATAAAAACTGGAGAGAAGCCTTCTCAGAAACTTCTCTGTGATGATTGCATTCAACTCACAGAGTTGAACCCTCCTATGGATAGAGCAGTGTTGAAACTCTCTTTTTGTGGAATCTGCAGGTGGATATGTGCACCTCTCTGAAGATGTCTTTGGAAACGGGAATATCTTCACATAAAAACTAAACAGAAGCATTCTCAGAAACTTCTTGGTGATGTTTGCATTCAAATCCCAGAGTTGAACCTTCCTTTGATAGTTCAGGTTTGAAACACTCTTTTTGTAGGATCTGCAAGTGGCTATTTGGACCACTCTGTGGCCTTCGTTCGAAACGGGTATATCTTCGCATAAAATCTAGACAGAAGCATTCTCAGAAAATACTTTGTGATGATTGAGTTGAACTCACAGAGCTGAACATTCCTTTGGATGGAGCAGGTTTGAGACACACTTTTTGTAGAATCTACAAGTGGATATTTGGACCTCTCTGAGGATTTCGTTGGAAACGGGATAACTGCACCTAACTAAACGGAAGCATTCTCAGAAACTGCTTTGTGATGATTGCATTCACCTCACAGAGTTGAACATTCCTATTGATAGAGCAGTTTGGAAACACTCTTGTTGTGGAATGTGCAAGTGGAGATTTGGAGCGCTTTGAGGCCTATGGTAGTAAAGGGAATAGCTTCATAGAAAAACTAGACAGATGCATTCTCAGGAACTTTTTGGTGATGTTTGTATTCAACTCCCAGAGTTGAGCTTTCCTTTGGAAAGAGCAGCTATGAAACACTCTTTTTCTAGAATCTGCAAGTGGACGTTTGGAGTGCTTTGTGGATTGTGGTGGAAAAGGAAATATCTTCACCTAAATACTAGAGAGAAGCATTCTCAGAAGCTTCTCTGTGATGACTGCATTCAACTCACGGAGTTGAACACTCCTTTTGAGAGCGCAGTTTTGAAACTCTCTTTCTGTGGCATCTGCAAGGGGACATGTAGACCTCTTTGAAGATTTCGTTGGAAACGGAATCATCTTCACATAAAATCTATACAGAAGCAGTCTCAGAATCTTCTTTGTGATGTTTGCATTCAAATCCCAGAGTTGAACTTTCCTTTCAAAGTTCACGTTTGAAACACTCTTTTTGCAGGATCTACAAGTGGATATTTGGACCACTCTGTGTCCTTCGTTCGGAACGGGTATATCTTCACATGACACCTAGACAGAAGCTTTCTCAGAAAATTCTTTGGGATGATTGAGTGGAACTCACAGAGCTGAACATTCCTTGCGATGTAGCAGTTTAGAAACACACTTTCTGCAGAATCTGCAAGTGCATATGTGGACCTCTCTGAGGAATTCGTTGGAAACGGGATAATTTCAGCTGACTAAACAGAAGCATTCTCAGAACCTTCTTCGTGATGTGTGCATTCAACTCACAGTGTGGAACCTTTCTTTGATAGTTCAGGTTTGAAACACTCTTTTTGTAGAAACTGCAAGGGGATAATTGCACTTCTTTGAGGCCTACCGTAGTAAAGGAAATAACTTCCTATAGAAAGAAGACAGAAGCATTCTCAGAACCCTCTTCGTGATGTTTGCATTCAACTCACAGTGCTGAACCTTTCTTTGATAGTTCAGCTTTGAAACACTCTTTTTGTAGAAACTGCAAGTGGATATTTGGTCCTCTCTGAGCATTTCGTTGGAAACGGGATAAACTGCACAGAACTAAACAGAAGCATTCTCAGAACCTTCTTCGTGATGTTTGCATTCAACTCACAGTGTTGAACCTTTCTTTGATAGTTCAGGTTTGAAACGGTCTTTCTGTAGAAACTGCAAGTAGATATTTGGACCTCTCTGAGGATTTCGTTGGAAACGGGATAACCCGCACAGAACTAAAACAGAAGCATTCACAGAAAACTCTTGGTGACGACTGAGTTTAACTCACAGAGCTGAACATTCCTTTGGATGGAGCAGTTTCGAAACACACTATTTGTAGAATGTGCAAGTGGATATTTAGGCCTCTCTGAGGATTTCGTTGGAAACGGGATAAACCGCACAGAACTAAACAGAAGCATTCTCAGAAACTACTTTGTGATGATTGCATTCAAGTCACAGAGTTGAACATTCCCTTTGACAGAGCAGTTTGGAAACTCTCTTTGTGTAGAATCTGCAAGTGGAGATATGGACCGCTTTGAGGCCTATGGTAGTAAAGGAAATAGCTTCATATAAAAGCTAGACAGTAGCATTCTCAGAAACTTCTTTGTGATGCTTGCATTCAACTCACAGAGTTGAACTTTCCTTTCGAGAGAGAAGCTTTGAAACACTCTTTTCCAGAATCTGCAAGTGGACATTTGGAGGGCATTGAGGCCTGTGGTGGAAAAGGAATTATCTTCCCGTAAAAGCTAGACAGAAGCATTGTCAGAAACTTCTTTGTGATGATTGCATTCAACTCACAGAGTTGAAGGTTCCTTTTCAAAGAGCAGTTTCCAATCACTCTTTCTGTGGAATCTGCAAGTGGATATTTGGACCTCTTTGAAGATTTCGTTGGAAACGGGAGAATCTTCACAGAAAAGCTAAACAGAAGCATTCTCAGAAACTTCTCTGTGATGTTTGGTGTTCAACTCCCAGAGTTTCACGTTGCTTTTCATAGAGTAGTTCTGAAACATGCTTTTCGTAGTGTCTGCAAGTGGACATTTGGAGCGCTTTCAGGCCTGTGGTGGAAAACGAATTATGGTCACATAAAAACTGGAGAGAAGCCTTCTCAGAAACTTCTCTGTGATGATTGCATTCAACTCACAGAGTTGAACCCTCCTATGGATAGAGCAGTGTTGAAACTCTCTTTTTGTGGAATCTGCAAGTGGATATGTGGACCTCTCCGAAGATGTCTTTGGAAACGGGAATATCTTCACATAAAAACTAAACAGAAGCATTCTCAGAAATTTCTTGGTGATGTTTGCATACAAATCCCAGAGTTGAACCTTCCTTTGATAGTTCAGGTTTGAAACACTCTTTTTGTAGGATCTGCAAGTGGCTATTTGGACTACTCTGAGGCCTTCGTTCGAAACGGGTATATCTTCGCATAAAATCTAGACAGAAGCATTCTCAGAAAATACTTTGTGATGATTGAGTTGAACTCACAGAGCTGAACATTCCTTTGGATGGAGCAGGTTTGAGACACACTTTTTGTAGAATCTACAAGTGGATATTTGGACCTCTCTGAGGATTTCGTTGGAAACGGGATAACTGCACCTAACTAAACGGAAGCATTCTCAGAAACTGCTTTGTGATGATTGCATTCACCTCACAGAGTTGAACATTCCTATTGATAGAGCAGTTTGGAAACACTCTTGTTGTGGAATGTGCAAGTGGAGATTTGGAGCGCTTTGAGGCCTGTGGTAGTAAAGGGAATAGCTTCATAGAAAAACTAGACAGATGCATTCTCAGGAACTTCTTTTTGGTGATGTTTGTATTCAACTCCCAGAGTTGAACTTTCCTTTGGAAAGAGCAGCTATGAAACACTCTTTTTCTAGAATCTGCAAGTGGACGTTTGGAGGGCTTTGTGGTTTGTGGTGGAAAAGGAAATATCTTCACCTAAATACTAGACAGAAGCATTCTCAGAAGCTTCTCTGTGATGACTGCATTCAACTCACGGAGTTGAACACTCCTTTTGAGAGCGCAGTTTTGAAACTCTCTTTCTGTGGCATCTGCAAGGGGACATGTAGACCTCTTTGAAGATTTCGTTGGAAACGGAATCATCTTCACATAAAAACTATACAGAAGCAGTCTCAGAATCTTCTTTGTGATGTTTGCATTCAAATCCCAGAGTTGAACTTTCCTTTCAAAGTTCACGTTTGAAACACTCTTTTTGCAGGATCTACAAGTGGATATTTGGACCACTCTGTGTCCTTCGTTCGAAACGGGTATATCTTCACATGACATCTAGACAGAAGCTTTCTCAGAAAATTCTTTGGGATGATTGAGTTGAACTCACAGAGCTGAACATTCCTTGCGATGTAGCAGTTTAGAAACACACTTTCTGCAGAATCTGCAAGTGCATATTTGGACCTCTCAGAGTAATTCGTTGGAAACGGGATAATTTCAGCTGACTAAACAGAAGCATTCTCAGAACCTTCTTCGTGATGTCTGCATTCAACTCACAGTGTGGAACCTTTCTTTGATAGTTCAGGTTTGAAACACTCTTTTTGTAGAAACTGCAAGGGGATAATTACACTTCTTTGAGGCCTACCGTAGTAAAGGAAATAACTTCCTATAAAAAGAAGACAGAAGCATTCTCAGAACCCTCTTCGTGATGTTTGCATTCAACTCACAGTGCTGAACCTTTCTTTGATAGTTCAGCTTTGAAACACTCTTCTTGTAGAAACTGCAAGTGGATATTTGGTCCTCTCTGAGGATTTCGTTGGAAACGGGATAAACCGCACAGAACTAAACAGAAGAATTCTCAGAGCCCTCTTCGTGGTGTTTGCATTCA
This sequence comes from Homo sapiens, assembly GCF_000001405.40. Lineage (NCBI taxonomy): Eukaryota > Metazoa > Chordata > Mammalia > Primates > Hominidae > Homo > Homo sapiens. Next base: position 25,783,597 of record NC_000017.11, read on the forward strand.
ACTCACAGTGCTGAACCTTTCTTTGATAGTGCAGCTTTGAAACACTATTTTTGTAGAAACTGCAAGTGGATATTTGGTCCTCTCTGAGGATTTCGTTGGAAACGGGATAAACCGCACAGAACTAAAACAGAAGCATTCACAGAAAACTCTTGGTGACGACTGAGTTTAACTCACAGAGCTGAACATTCCTTTGGATGGAGCAGTTTCGAAACACACTATTTGTAGAATCTGCAAGTGGATATTTGGGCCTCTCTGAGGATTTCGTTGGAAACGGGATAAAACGCACAGAACTAAAACAGAAGCATTCTCAGAAACTACTTTGTGATGATTGCATTCAAGTCACAGAGTTGAACATTCCCTTTGACAGAGCAGTTTGGAAACTCTCTTTGTGTAGAATCTGCAAGTGGAGATATGGACCGCTTTGAGGTCTATGGTAGTAAAGGAAAGAGCTTCATATAAAAGCTAGACAGTAGCATTCTCAGAAACTTCTTTGTGATGCTTGCATTCAACTCACAGAGTTGAACTTTCCTTTCGAGAGAGAAGCTTTGAAACACTCTTTTTCCAGAATGTGCAAGTGGACATTTGGGGAGCTTTGAGGCCTGTGGTGGAAAAGGAATTATCTTCCCGTAAAAGCTAGATAGAAGCATTGTCAGAAACTTCTTTGTGATGATTGCATTCAACTCACAGAGTTGAAGGTTCCTTTTCAAACAGCAGTTTCCAAACACTCTTTCTGTGGAATCTGCAAGTGGATATTTGGACCTCTTTGAAGATTTCGTTGGAAACGTTATAACCTTCACAGAAAAGCTAAACAGAAGCATTCTCAGAAACTTCTCTGTGATGTTTGTGTTCAACTCCCAGAGTTTCACGTTGCTTTTCATAGAGTAGTTCTGAAACATGCTTTTCGTAGTGTCTGCAAGTGGACATTTGGAGCGCTTTCAGGCCTGTGGTGGAAAACGAATTATGGTCACATAAAAACTGGAGAGAAGCCTTCTCAGAAACTTCTCTGTGATGATTGCATTCAACTCACAGAGTTGAACCCTCCTATGGATAGAGCAGTGTTGAAACTCTCTTTTTGTGGAATCTGCAAGTGGATATGTGGACCTCTCCGAAGATGTCTTTGGAAACGGGAATATCTTCACATAAAAACTAAACAGAAGCATTCTCAGAAACTTCTTGGTGATGTTTTCATTCAAATCCCAGAGTTGAACCTTCCTTTGATAGTTCAGGTTTGAAACACTCTTTTTGTAGGATCTGCAAGTGGCTATTTGGACCACTCTGTGGCCTTCGTTCGAAACGGGTATATCTTCGCATAAAATCTAGACAGAAGCATTCTCAGAAAATACTTTGTGATGATTGAGTTTAAATCACAGAGCTGACCATTCCTCTGGATGGAGCAGGTTTGAGACACACTTTTTGTAGAATCTACAAGTGGATATTTGGACCTCTCTGAGGATTTCGTTGGAAACGGGATAACTGCACCTAACTAAACGGAAGCATTCTCAGAAACTGCTTTGTGATGATTGCATTCACCTCACAGAGTTGAACATTCCTATTGATAGAGCAGTTTGGAAACACTCTTGTTGTGGAATGTGCAAGTGGAGATTTGGAGCGCTTTGAGGCCTATGGTAGTAAAGGGAATAGCTTCATAGAAAAACTAGACAGATGCATTCTCAGGAACTTTTTGGTGATGTTTGTATTCAACTCCCAGAGTTGAACTTTCCTTTAGAAAGAGCAGCTATGAAACACTCTTTTTCTAGAATCTGCAAGTGGACGTTTGGAGGGCTTTGTGGTTTGTGGTGGAAAAGGAAATATCTTCACCTAAATACTAGATAGAAGCATTCTCAGAAGCTTCTCTGTGATGACTGCATTCAACTCACGGAGTTGAACACTCCTTTTGAGAGCGCAGTTTTGAAACTCTCTTTCTGTGGCATCTGCAAGGGGACATGTAGACCTCTTTGAAGATTTCGTTGGAAACGGAATCATCTTCACATAAAAACTATACAGAAGCAGTCTCAGAATCTTCTTTGTGATGTTTGCATTCAAATCCCAGAGTTGAACTTTCCTTTCAAAGTTCACGTTTGAAACACTCTTTTTGCAGGATCTACAAGTGGATATTTGGACCACTCTGTGTCCTTCGTTCGAAACGGGTATATCTTCACATGACATCTAGACAGAAGCTTTCTCAGAAAATTGTTTGGGATGATTGATTTGAACTCACAGAGCTGAGCATTCCTTGTGATGTAGCAGTTTAGAAACACACTTTCTGCAGAATCTGCAAGTGCATATGTGGACCTCTCTGAGGAATTCGTTGGAAACGGGATAATTTCAGCTGACTAAACAGAAGCATTCTCAGAACCTTCTTCGTGATGTCTGCATTCAACTCACAGTGTGGAACCTTTCTTTGATAGTTCAGGTTTGAAACACTCTTTTTGTAGAAACTGCAAGGGGATAATTACACTTCTTTGAGGCCTACCGTAGTAAAGGAAATAACTTCCTATAGAAAGAAGACAGAAGCATTCTCAGAACCCTCTTCGTGATGTTTGCATTCAACTCACAGTGCTGAACCTTTCTTTGATAGTTCAGCTTTGAAACACTCTTCTTGTAGAAACTGCAAGTGGATATTTGGTCCTCTCTGAGGATTTCGTTGGAAACGGGATAAACCGCACAGAACTAAACAGAAGAATTCTCAGAGCCCTCTTCGTGATGTTTGCATTCAACTCACAGTGCTGAACCTTTCTTTGATAGTGCAACTTTGAAACACTCTTTTTGTAGAAACTGCAAGTGGATATTTGGTCCTCTCTGAGGATTTCGTTGGAAACGGGATAAACCGCACAGAACTAAAACAGAAGCATTCACAGAAAACTCTTGGTGACGACTGAGTTTAACTCACAGAGCTGAACATTCCTTTGGATGGAGCAGTTTCGAAACACACTATTTGTAGAATCTGCAAGTGGATATTTGGGCCTCTCTGAGGATTTCGTTGGAAACGGGATAAAACGCACAGAACTAAAACAGAAGCATTCTCAGAAACTACTTTGTGATGATTGCATTCAAGTCACAGAGTTGAACATTCCCTTTGACAGAGCAGTTTGGAAACTCTCTTTGTGTAGAATCTGCAAGTGGAGATATGGACCGCTTTGAGGCCTATGGTAGTAAAGGAAATAGCTTCATATAAAAGCTAGACAGTAGCATTCTCAGAAACTTCTTTGTGATGCTTGCATTCAACTCACAGAGTTGAACTTTCCTTTCGAGAGAGAAGCTTTGAAACACTCTTTTTCCAGAATGTGCAAGTGGACATTTGGGGAGCTTTGAGGCCTGGGGTGGAAAAGGAATTATCTTCCCGTAAAAGCTAGATAGAAGCATTGTCAGAAACTTCTTTGTGATGATTGCATTCAACTCACAGAGTTGAAGGTTCCTTTTCAAACAGCAGTTTCCAATCACTCTTTCTGTGGAATCTGCAAGTGGATATTTGGGCCTCTCTGAGGATTTCGTTGGAAACGGGATAAAACGCACAGAACTAAAACAGAAGCATTCTCAGAAACTTCTCTGTGATGTTTGTGTTCAACTCCCAGAGTTTCACATTGCTTTTCATAGAGTAGTTCTGAAACATGCTTTTCGTAGTGTCTGCAAGTGGACATTTGGAGCGCTTTCAGGCCTGTGGTGGAAAACGAATTATGGTCCCATAAAAACTGGAGAGAAGCCTTCTCAGAAACTTCTCTGTGATGATTGCATTCAACTCACAGAGTTGAACCCTCCTATGGATAGAGCATTGTTGAAACTCTCTTTTTGTGGAATCTGCAAGTGGATATGTGGACCTCTCCGAAGATGTCTTTGGAAACGGGAATATCTTCACATAAAAACTAAACAGAAGCATTCTCAGAAACTTCTTGGTGATGTTTGCATTCAAATCCCAGAGTTGAACCTTCCTTTGATAGTTCAGGTTTGAAACACTCTTTCTGTAGGATCTGCAAGTGGCTATTTGGACCACTCTGTGGCCTTCGTTCGAAACGGGTATATCTTCGCATAAAATCTAGACAGAAGCATTCTCAGAAAATACTTTGTGATGATTGAGTTTAAATCACAGAGCTGACCATTCCTTTGGATGGAGCAGGTTTGAGACACACTTTTTGTAGAATCTACAAGTGGATATTTGGACCTCTCTGAGGATTTCGTTGGAAACGGGATAACTGCACCTAACTAAACGGAAGCATTCTCAGAAACTGCTTTGTGATGATTGCATTCACCTCACAGAGTTGAACATTCCTATTGATAGAGCAGTTTGGAAACACTCTTGTTGTGGAATGTGCAAGTGGAGATTTGGAGCGCTTTGAGGCCTATGGTAGTAAAGGGAATAGCTTCATAGAAAAACTAGACAGATGCATTCTCAGGAACTTTTTGGTGATGTTTGTATTCAACTCCCAGAGTTGAACTTTCCTTTGGAAAGAGCAGCTATGAAACACTCTTTTTCTAGAATCTGCAAGTGGACGTTTGGAGGGCTTTGTGGTTTGTGGTGGAAAAGGAAATATCTTCACCTAAATACTAGATAGAAGCATTCTCAGAAGCTTCTCTGTGATGACTGCATTCAACTCACGGAGTTGAACACTCCTTTTGAGAGCGCAGTTTTGAAACTCTTTCTGTGGCATCTGCAAGGGGACATGTAGACCTCTTTGAAGATTTCGTTGGAAACGGAATCATCTTCACATAAAAACTATACAGAAGCAGTCTCAGAATCTTCTTTGTGATGTTTGCATTCAAATCCCAGAGTTGAACTTTCCTTTCAAAGTTCACGTTTGAAACACTCTTTTTGCAGGATCTACAAGTGGATATTTGGACCACTCTGTGTCCTTCGTTCGAAACGGGTATATCTTCACACGACATCTAGACAGAAGCTTTCTCAGAAAATTCTTTGGGATGATTGAGTGGAACTCACAGAGCTGAACATTCCTTGCGATGTAGCAGTTTAGAAACACACTTTCTGCAGAATCTGCAAGTGCATATTTGGACCTCTCTGAGGAATTCGTTGGAAACGGGATAATTTCAGCTGACTAAACAGAAGCAGTCTCAGAACCTTCTTCGTGATGTCTGCATTCAACTCACAGTGTGGAACCTTTCTTTGATAGTTCAGGTTTGAAACACTCTTTTTGTAGAAACTGCAAGGGGATAATTACCCTCTTTGAGGAGTACCGTAGTAAAGGAAATAACTTCCTATAGAAAGAAGACAGAAGCATTCTCAGAACCCTCTTCGTGATGTTTGCATTCAACTCACAGTGCTGAACCTTTCTTTGATAGTGCAGCTTTGAAACACTCTTTTTGTAGAAACTGCAAGTGGATATTTGGTCCTGTCTGAGGATTTCGTTGGAAACGGGATAAAACGCACAGAACTAAACAGAAGCATTCTCAGAACCTTCTTCGTGATGTTTGCATTCAACTCACAGTGTTGAACCTTTCTTTGATAGTTCAGGTTTGAAACGGTCTTTCTGTAGAAACTGCAAGTAGATATTTGGACCTCTCTGAGGATTTCGTTGGAAACGGGATAACCCGCACAGAACTAAAACAGAAGCATTCACAGAAAACTCTTGGTGACGACTGAGTTTAACTCACAGAGCTGAACATTCCTTTGGATGGAGCAGTTTCGAAACACACTATTTGTAGAATCTGCAAGTGGATATTTGGGCCTCTCTGAGGATTTCGTTGGAAACGGGATAAAACGCACAGAACTAAAACAGAAGCATTCTCAGAAACTACTTTGTGATTATTGCATTCAAGTCACAGAGTTGAACATTCCCTTTGACAGAGCAGTTTGGAAACTCTCTTTGTGTAGAATCTGCAAGTGGAGATATGGACCGCTTTGAGGCCTATGGTAGTAAAGGAAATAGCTTCATATAAAACCTAGACAGTAGCATTCTCAGAAACTTCTTTGTGATGCTTGCATTCAACTCACAGAGTTGAACTTTCCTTTCGAGAGAGAAGCTTTGAAACACTCTTTTTCCAGAATGTGCAAGTGGACATTTGGGGAGCTTTGAGGCCTGTGGTGGAAAAGGAATTATCTTCCCGTAAAAGCTAGATAGAAGCATTGTCAGAAACTTCTTTGTGATGATTGCATTCAACTCACAGAGTTGAAGGTTCCTTTTCAAACAGCAGTTTCCAATCACTCTTTCTGTGGAATCTGCAAGTGGATATTTGGGCCTCTCTGAGGATTTCGTTGGAAACGGGATAAAACGCACAGAACTAAAACAGAAGCATTCTCAGAAACTTCTCTGTGATGTTTGTGTTCAACTCCCAGAGTTTCACATTGCTTTTCATAGAGTAGTTCTGAAACATGCTTTTCGTAGTGTCTACAAGTGGACATTTGGAGCGCTTTCAGGCCTGTGGTGGAAAACGAATTATGGTCACATAAAAACTGGAGAGAAGCCTTCTCAGAAACTTCTCTGTGATGATTGCATTCAACTCACAGAGTTGAACCCTCCTATGGATAGAGCAGTGTTGAAACTCTCTTTTTGTGGAACCTGCAAGTGGATATGTGGACCTCTCCGAAGATGTCTTTGGAAACGGGAATATCTTCACATAAAAACTAAACAGAAGCATTCTCAGAAACTTCTTGGTGATGTTTGCATTCAAATCCCAGAGTTGAACCTTCCTTTGATAGTTCAGGTTTGAAACACTCTTTTTGTAGGATCTGCAAGTGGATATTTGGACCACTCTGTGGCCTTCGTTCGAAACGGGTACATCTTCGCATAAAATCTAGACAGAAGCATTCTCAGAAAATACTTTGTGATGATTGAGTTTAACTCACAGAGCTGAACATTCCTTTGGATGGAGCAGGTTTGAGACACACTTTTTGTAGAATCTACAAGTGGATATTTCGACCTCTCTGAGGATTTCGTTGGAAACGGGATAACTGCACCTAACTAAGCGGAAGCATTCTCAGAAACTGCTTTGTGATGATTGCATTCACCTCACAGAGTTGACCATTCCTATTGATAGAGCAGTTTGGAAACCCTCTTGTTGTGGAATGTGCAAGTGGAGATTTGGAGCGCTTTGAGGCCTATGGTAGTAAAGGAAATAGCTTCATAGAAAAACTAGACAGATGCATTCTCAGGAACCTTTTGGTGATGTTTGTATTCAACTCCCAGAGTTGAACTTTCCTTTGGAAAGAGCAGCTATGAAACACTCTTTTTCTAGAATCTGCAAGTGGACGTTTGGAGGGCTTTGTGGTTTGTGGTGGAAAAGGAAATATCTTCACCTAAATACTAGATAGAAGCATTCTCAGAAGCTTCTCTGTGATGACTGCATTCAACTCACGGAGTTGAACACTCCTTTTGAGAGCGCAGTTTTGAAACTCTCTTTCTGTGGCATCTGCAAGGGGACATGTAGACCTCTTTGAAGATTTCGTTGGAAACGGAATCATCTTCACATAAAAACTATACAGAAGCAGTCTCAGAATCTTCTTTGTGATGTTTGCATTCAAATCCCAGAATTGAACTTTACTTTAAAGTTCACGTTTGAAACACTCTTTTTGCAGGATCTACAAGTGGATATTTGGACCACTCTGTGTCCTTCGTTCGAAACGGGTATATCTTCACATGACATCTAGACAGAAGCTTTCTCAGAAAATTCTTTGGGATGATTGAGTGGAACTCACAGAGCTGAACATTCCTTGCGATGGAGCAGTTTAGAAACACACTTTCTGCAGAATCTGCAAGTGCATATTTGGACCTCTCTGAGGAATTCGTTGGAAACGGGATAATTTCAGCTGACTAAACAGAAGCATTCTCAGAACCTTCTTCGTGATGTCTGCATTCAACTCACAGTGTGGAACCTTTCTTTGATAGTTCAGGTTTGAAACACTCTTTTTGTAGAAACTGCAAGGGGATAATTGCACTTCTTTGAGGCCTACCGTAGTAAAGGAAATAACTTCCTATAGAAAGAAGACAGAAGCATTCTCAGAACCCTCTTCGTGATGTTTGCATTCAACTCACAGTGCTGAACCTTTCTTTGATAGTTCAGCTTTGAAACACTCTTCTTGTAGAAACTGCAAGTGGATATTTGGTCCTCTCTGAGGATTTCGTTGGAAACGGGATAAACCGCACAGAACTAAACAGAAGAATTCTCAGAGCCCTCTTCGTGATGTTTGCATTCAACTCACAGTGCTGAACCTTTCTTTGATAGTGCAGCTTTGAAACACTCTTTTTGTAGAAACTGCAAGTGGATGTTTGGTCCTCTCTGAGGATTTCGTTGGAAACGGGATAAACCGCACAGAACTAAAACAGAAGCATTGTCAGAAACTTCTTTGTGATGATTGCATTCAACTCACAGAGTTGAAGGTTCCTTTTCAAACAGCAGTTTCCAATCACTCTTTCTGTGGAATCTGCAAGTGGATATTTGGGCCTCTCTGAGGATTTCGTTGGAAACGGGATAAAACGCACAGAACTAAAACAGAAGCATTCTCAGAAACTTCTCTGTGATGTTTGTGTTCAACTCCCCAGAGTTTCACGTTGCTTTTCATAGAGTAGTTCTGAAACATGCTTTTCGTAGTGTCTGCAAGTGGACATTTGGAGCGCTTTCAGGCCTGTGGTGGAAAACGAATTATGGTCACATAAAAACTGGAGAGAAGCCTTCTCAGAAACTTCTCTGTGATGATTGCATTCAACTCACAGAGTTGAACCCTCCTATGGATAGAGCAGTGTTGAAACTCTCTTTTTGTGGAATCTGCAAGTGGATATGTGGACCTCTCCGAAGATGTCTTTGGAAACGGGAATATCTTCACATAAAAACTAAACAGAAGCATTCTCAGAAACTTCTTGGTGATGTTTGCATTCAAATCCCAGGAGTTGAACCTTCCTTTGATAGTTCAGGTTTGAAACACTCTTTTTGTAGGATCTGCAAGTGGCTATTTGGACCACTCTGTGGCCTTCGTTCGAAACGGGTATATCTTCGCATAAAATCTAGACAGAAGCATTCTCAGAAAATACTTTGTGATGATTGAGTTTAACTCACAGAGCTGAACATTCCTTTGGATGGAGCAGGTTTGAGACACACTTTTTGTAGAATCTACAAGTGGATATTTGGACCTCTCTGAGGATTTCGTTGGAAACGCGATAACTGCTCCTAACTAAACGGAAGCATTCTCAGAAACTGCTTTGTGATGATTGCATTCACCTCACAGAGTTGAACATTCCTATTGATAGAGCAGTTTGGAAACACTCTTGTTGTGGAATGTGCAAGTGGAGATTTGGAGCGCTTTGAGGCCTATGGTAGTAAAGGGAATAGCTTCATAGAAAAACTAGACAGATGCATTCTCAGGAACTTTTTGGTGATGTTTGTATTCAACTCCCAGAGTTGAACTTTCCCTTTGGAAAGAGCAGCTATGAAACACTCTTTTTCTAGAATCTGCAAGTGGACGTTTGGAGGGCTTTGTGGTTTGTGGTGGAAAAGGAAATATCTTCACCTAAATACTAGATAGAAGCATTCTCAGAAGCTTCTCTGTGATGACTGCATTCAACTCACGGAGTTGAACACTCCTTTTGAGAGCGCAGTTTTGAAACTCTCTTTCTGTGGCATCTGCAAGGGGACATGTAGACCTCTTTGAAGATTTCGTTGGAAACGGAATCATCTTCACATAAAAACTATACAGAAGCAGTCTCAGAATCTTCTTTGTGATGTTTGCATTCAAATCCCAGAGTTGAACTTTCCTTTCAAAGTTCACGTTTGAAACACTCTTTTTGCAGGATCTACAAGTGGATATTTGGACCACTCTGTGTCCTTCGTTCGAAACGGGTATATCTTCACATGACATCTACACAGAAGCTTTCTCAGAAAATTCTTTGGGATGATTGAGTGGAACTCACAGAGCTGAACATTCCTTGCGATGTAGCAGTTTAGAAACACACTTTCTGCAGAATCTGCAAGTGCATATTTGGACCTCTCTGAGGAATTCGTTGGAAACGGGATAATTTCAGCTGACTAAACAGAAGCATTCTCAGAACCTTCTTCGTGATGTCTGCATTCAACTCACAGTGTGGAACCTTTCTTTGATAGTTCAGGTTTGAAACACTCTTTTTGTAGAAACTGCAAGGGGATAATGGCACTTCTTTGAGGCCTACCGTAGTAAAGGAAATAACTTCCTATAGAAAGAAGACAGAAGCATTCTCAGAACCCTCTTCGTGATGTTTGCATTCAACTCACAGTGCTGAACCTTTCTTTGATAGTTCAGCTTTGAAACACTCTTCTTGTAGAAACTGCAAGTGGATATTTGGTCCTCTCTGAGGATTTCGTTGGAAACGGGATAAACCGCACAGAACTAAACAGAAGCATTCTCAGAGCCCTCTTCGTGATGTTTGCATTCAACTCACAGTGCTGAACCTTTCTTTGATAGTGCAGCTTTGAAACACTCTTTTTGTAGAAACTGCAAGTGGATATTTGGTCCTCTCTGAGGATTTCGTTGGAAACGGGATAAACCGCACAGAACTAAAACAGAAGCATTCACAGAAAACTCTTGGTGACGACTGAGTTTAACTCACAGAGCTGAACATTCCTTTGGATGGAGCAGTTTCGAAACACACTATTTGTAGAATCTGCAAGTGGATATTTGGGCCTCTCTGAGGATTTCGTTGGAAACGGGATAAAACGCACAGAACTAAAACAGAAGCATTCTCAGAAACTACTTTGTGATGATTGCATTCAAGTCACAGAGTTGAACATTCCCTTTGACAGAGCAGTTTGGAAACTCTCTTTGTGTAGAATCTGCAAGTGGAGATATGGACCGCTTTGAGGCCTATGGTAGTAAAGGAAATAGCTTCATATAAAAGCTAGACAGTAGCATTCTCAGAAACTTCTTTGTGATGCTTGCATTCAACTCACAGAGTTGAACTTTCCTTTCGAGAGAGAAGCTTTGAAACACTCTTTTTCCAGAATGTGCAAGTGGACATTTGGGGAGCTTTGAGGCCTGTGGTGGAAAAGGAATTATCTTCCCGTAAAAGCTAGATAGAAGCATTGTCAGAAACTTCTTTGTGATGATTGCATTCAACTCACAGAGTTGAAGGTTCCTTTTCCAACAGCAGTTTCCAAACACTCTTTCTGTGGAATCTGCAAGTGGATATTTGGACCTCTTTGAAGATTTCGTTGGAAAAGGGATAATCTTCACAGAAAAGCTAAACAGAAGCATTCTCAGAAACTTCTCTGTGATGTTTGTGTTCAACTCCCAGAGTGTCACATTGCTTCTCATAGAGTAGTTCTGAAACATGCTTTTCGTATTGTCTGCAAGGGGACATTTGGAGCGCTTTCAGGCCTGTGGTGGAAAACGAATTATGGTCACATAAAAACTGGACAGAAGGCTTCTCAGAAACTTCTCTGTGATGATTGCATTCAACTCACAGAGTTGAACCCTCCTATGGATAGAGCAGTGTTGAAACTCTCTTTTTGTGGAATCTGCAAGTGGATATGTGGACCTCTCCGAAGATGTCTTTGGAAACGGGAATATCTTCACATAAAAACTAAACAGAAGCATTCTCAGAAACTTCTTGGTGATGTTTGCATTCAAATCCCAGAGTTGAACCTTCCTTTGATAGTTCAGGTTTGAAACACTCTTTCTGTAGGATCTGCAAGTGGCTATTTGGACCACTCTGTGGCCTTCGTTCAAAACGGGTATATCTTCGCATAAAATCTAGACAGAAGCATTCTCAGAAAATACTTTGTGATGATTGAGTTTAAATCACAGAGCTGACCATTCCTTTGGATGGAGCAGGTTTGAGACACACTTTTTGTAGAATCTACAAGTGGATATTTGGACCTCTCTGAGGATTTCGTTGGAAACGGGATAACTGCACCTAACTAAACGGAAGCATTCTCAGAAACTGCTTTGTGATGATTGCATTCACCTCACAGAGTTGAACATTCCTATTGATAGAGCAGTTTGGAAACACTCTTGTTGTGGAATGTGCAAGTGGAGATTTGGAGCGCTTTGAGGCCTATGGTAGTAAAGGGAATAGCTTCATAGAAAAACTAGACAGATGCATTCTCAGGAACCTTTTGGTGATGTTTGTATTCAACTCCCAGAGTTGAACTTTCCTTTGGAAAGAGCAGCTATGAAACACTCTTTTTCTAGAATCTGCAAGTGGACGTTTGGAGGGCTTTGTGGTTTGTGGTGGAAAAGGAAATATCTTCACCTAAATACTAGATAGAAGCATTCTCAGAAGCTTCTCTGTGATGACTGCATTCAACTCACGGAGTTGAACACTCCTTTTGAGAGCGCAGTTTTGAAACTCTCTTTCTGTGGCATCTGCAAGGGGACATGTAGACCTCTTTGAAGATTTCGTTGGAAACGGAATCATCTTCACATAAAAACTATACAGAAGCAGTCTCAGAATCTTCTTTGTGATGTTTCGCATTCAAATCCCAGAGTTGAACTTTCCTTTCCAAGTTCACGTTTGAAACACTCTTTTTGCAGGATCTACAAGTGGATATTTGGACCACTCTGTGTCCTTCGTTCGAAACGGGTATATCTTCACATGACATCTAGACAGAAGCTTTCTCAGAAAATTCTTTGGGATGATTGAGTGGAACTCACAGAGCTGAACATTCCTTGCGATGTAGCAGTTTAGAAACACACTTTCTGCAGAATCTGCAAGTGCATATTTGGACCTCTCTGAGGAATTCGTTGGAAACGGGATAATTTCAGCTGACTAAACAGAAGCATTCTCAGAACCTTCTTCGTGATGTCTGCATTCAACTCACAGTGTGGAACCCTTTCTTTGATAGTTCAGGTTTGAAACACTCTTTTTGTAGAAACTGCAAGGGGATAATTGCACTTCTTTGAGGCCTACCGTAGTAAAGGAAATAACTTCCTATAGAAAGAAGACAGAAGCATTCACAGAAAACTCTTGGTGACGACTGAGTTTAACTCACAGAGCTGAACATTCCTTTGGATGGAGCAGTTTCGAAACACACTATTTGTAGAATCTGCAAGTGGATATTTGGGCCTCTCTGAGGATTTCGTTGGAAACGGGATAAAACGCACAGAACTAAACAGAAGCATTCTCAGAAACTACTTTGTGATGATTGCATTCAAGTCACAGAGTTGAACATTCCCTTTGACAGAGCAGTTTGGAAACTCTCTTTGTGTAGAATCTGCAAGTGGAGATATGGACCGCTTTGAGGCCTATGGTAGTAAAGGAAATAGCTTCATATAAAAGCTAGACAGTAGCATTCTCAGAAACTTCTTTGTGATGCTTGCATTCAACTCACAGAGTTGAACTTTCCTTTCGAGAGAGAAGCTTTGAAACACTCTTTTTCCGGAATCTGCAAGTGGACATTTGGAGGGCTTTGAGGCCTGTGGTGGAAAAGGAATTATCTTCCCGTAAAAGCTAGATAGAAGCATTGTCAGAAACTTCTTTGAGATGATTGCATTCAACTCACAGAGTTGAAGGTTCCTTTTCAAACAGCAGTTTCCAATCACTCTTTCTGTGGAATCTGCAAGTGGATATTTCGACCTCTTTGAAGATTTCGTTGGAAACGGGAGAATCTTCACAGAAAAGCTAAACAGAAGCATTCTCAGAACTTCTCTGTGATGTTTGTGTTCAACTCCCAGAGTTTCACGTTGCTTTTCATAGAGTAGTTCTGAAACATGCTTTTCGTAGTGTCTGCAAGTGGACATTTGGAGCGCTTTCAGGCCTGTGGTGGAAAACGAATTATGGTCACATAAAAACTGGAGAGAAGCCTTCTCAGAAACTTCTCTGTGATGATTGCATTCAACTCACAGAGTTGAACCCTCCTATGGATAGAGCAGTGTTGAAACTCTCTTTTTGTGGAATCTGCAAGTGGATATGTGGACCTCTCCGAAGATGTCTTTGGAAACGGGAATATCTTCACATAAAAACTAAACAGAAGCATTCTCAGAATCTTCTTGGTGATGTTTGCATTCAAATCCCAGAAGGTGAACCTTCCTTTGATAGTTCAGGTTTGAAACACTCTTTTTGTAGGATCTGCAAGTGGCTATTTGGACCACTCTGTGGCCTTCGTTCGAAACGGGTATATCTTCGCATAAAATCTAGACAGAAGCATTCTCAGAAAATACTTTGTGATGATTGAGTTGAACTCACAGAGCTGAACATTCCTTTGGATGGAGCAGGTTTGAGACACACTTTTTGTAGAATCTACAAGTGGATATTTGGACCTCTCTGAGGATTTCGCTGGAAACGGGATAACTGCACCTAACTAAACGGAAGCATTCTCAGAAACTGCTTTGTGATGATTGCATTCACCTCACAGAGTTGAACATTCCTATTGATAGAGCAGTTTGGAAACACTCTTGTTGTGGAATGTGCAAGTGGAGATTTGGAGCGCTTTGAGGCCTATGGTAGTAAAGGGAATAGCTTCATAGAAAAACTAGACAGATGCATTCTCAGGAACTTTTTGGTGATGTTTGTATTCAACTCCCAGAGTTGAACTTTCCTTTGGAAAGAGCAGCTATGAAACACTCTTTTTCTAGAATCTGCAAGTGGACGTTTGGAGGGCTTTGTGGTTTGTGGTGGAAAAGGAAATATCTTCACCTAAATACTAGATAGAAGCATTCTCAGAAGCTTCTCTGTGATGACTGCATTCAACTCACGGAGTTGAACACTCCTTTTGAGAGCGCAGTTTTGAAACTCTCTTTCTGTGGCATCTGCAAGGGGACATGTAGACCTCTTTGAAGATTTCGTTGGAAACGGAATAATCTTCACATCAAAACTATACAGAAGCAGTCTCAGAATCTTCTTTGTGATGTTTGCATTCAAATCCCAGAGTTGAACTTTCCTTTCCAAGTTCACGTTTGAAACACTCTTTTTGCAGGATCTACAAGTGGATATTTGGACCACTCTGTGTCCTTCGTTCGAAACGGGTATATCTTCACATGACATCTAGACAGAAGCTTTCTCAGAAAATTCTTTGGGATGATTGAGTTGAGCAAACAGAGCTGAACACTCCTTGCGATGTAGCAGTTTAGAAACACCCTTTCTGCAGAATCTGCAAGTGCATATGTGGACCTCTCTGAGGAATTCGTTGGAAACGGGATAATTTCAGCTGACTAAACAGAAGCATTCTCAGAACCTTCTTCGTGATGTCTGCATTCAACTCACAGTGTGGAACCTTTCTTTGATAGTTCAGGTTTGAAAGACTCTTTTTGTAGAAACTGCAAGGGGATCATTGCACTTCTTTGAGGCCTACCGTAGTAAAGGAAATAACTTCCTATAAAAAGAAGACAGAAGCATTCTCAGAACCTTCTTCGTGATGTTTGCATTCAACTCACAAGTGCTGAACCTTTCTTTGATAGTTCAGCTTTGAAACACTCTTTTTGTAGAAACTGCAAGTGGATATTTGGTCCTCTCTGAGGATTTCGTTGGAAACGGGATAAACCGCACAGAACTAAACAGAAGCATTCTCAGAACCTTCTTCGTGATGTTTGCATTCAACTCACAGTGTTGAACCTTTCTTTGATAGTTCAGGTTTGAAACGGTCTTTCTGTAGAAACTGCAAGTAGATATTTGGACCTCTCTGAGGATTTCGTTGGAAACGGGATAACCCGCACAGAACTAAAACAGAAGCATTCACAGAAAACTCTTGGTGACGACTGAGTTTAACTCACAGAGCTGAACATTCCTTTGGATGGAGCAGTTTCGAAACACACTATTTGTAGAATGTGCAAGTGGATATTTAGGCCTCTCTGAGGATTTCGTTGGAAACGGGATAAACCGCACAGAACTAAACAGAAGCATTCTCAGAAACTACTTTGTGATGATTGCATTCAAGTCACAGAGTTGAACATTCCCTTTGACAGAGCAGTTTGGAAACTCTCTTTGTGTAGAATCTGCAAGTGGAGATATGGACCGCTTTGAGGCCTATGGTAGTAAAGGAAATAGCTTCATATAAAAGCTAGACAGTAGCATTCTCAGAAACTTCTTTGTGATGCTTGCATTCAACTCACAGAGTTGAACTTTCCTTTCGAGAGAGAAGCTTTGAAACACTCTTTTTCCAGAATGTGCAAGTGGACATTTGGGAGCTTTGAGGCCTGTGGAGGAAAAGGAATTATCTTCCCGTAAAAGCTAGATAGAAGCATTGTCAGAAACTTCTTTGTGATGATTGCATTCAACTCACAGAGTTGAAGGTTCCTTTTCAAACAGCAGTTTCCAATCACTCTTTCTGTGGAATCTGCAAGTGGATATTTCGACCTCTTTGAAGATTTCGTTGGAAACGGGAGAATCTTCACAGAAAAGCTCAACAGAAGCATTCTCAGAAACTTCTCTGTGATGTTTGTGTTCAACTCCCAGAGTTTCACGTTGCTTTTCATAGAGTAGTTCTGAAACATGCTTTTCGTAGTGTCTGCAAGTGGACATTTGGAGCGCTTTCAGGCCTGTGGTGGAAAACGAATTATGGTCACATAAAAACTGGAGAGAAGCCTTCTCAGAAACTTCTCTGTGATGATTGCATTCAACTCACAGAGTTGAACCCTCCTATGGATAGAGCAGTGTTGAAACTCTCTTTTTGTGGAATCTGCAAGTGGATATGTGGACCTCTCCGAAGATGTCTTTGGAAACGGGAATATCTTCACATAAAAACTAAACAGAAGCATTCTCAGAAACTTCTTGGTGATGTTTGCATTCAAATCCCAGAGTTGAACCTTCCTTTGATAGTTCAGGTTTGAAACACTCTTTTTGTAGGATCTGCAAGTGGATATTTGGACCACTCTGTGGCCTTCGTTCGAAACGGGTATATCTTCGCATAAAATCTAGACAGAAGCATTCTCAGAAAATACTTTGTGATGATTGAGTTTAACTCACAGAGCTGAACATTCCTTTGGATGGAGCAGGTTTGAGACACACTTTTTGTAGAATCTACAAGTGGATATTTGGACCTCTCTGAGGATTTCGTTGGAAACGGGATAACTGCACCTAACTAAACGGAAGCATTCTCAGAAACTGCTTTGTGATGATTGCATTCACCTCACAGAGTTGAACATTCCTATTGATAGAGCAGTTTGGAAACACTCTTGTTGTGGAATGTGCAAGTGGAGATTTGGAGCGCTTTGAGGCCTGTGGTAGTAAAGGGAATAGCTTCATAGAAAAACTAGACAGATGCATTCTCAGGAACTTTTTGGTGATGTTTGTATTCAACTCCCAGAGTTGAACTTTCCTTTGGAAAGAGCAGCTATGAAACACTCTTTTTCTAGAATCTGCAAGTGGACGTTTGGAGGGCTTTGTGGTTTGTGGTGGAAAAGGAAATATCTTCACCTAAATACTAGATAGAAGCATTCTCAGAAGCTTCTCTGTGATGACTGCATTCAACTCACGGAGTTGAACACTCCTTTTGAGAGCGCAGTTTTGAAACTCTCCTTCTGTGGCATCCGCAAGGGGACATGTGGACCTCTTTGAAGATTTCGTTGGAAACGGAATCATCTTCACATAAAAACTATACAGAAGCAGTCTCAGAATCTTCTTTGTGATGTTTGCATTCAAATCCCAGAGTTGAACTTTCCTTTCAAAGTTCACGTTTGAAACACTCTTTTTGCAGGATCTACAAGTGGATATTTGGACCACTCCGTGTCCTCCGTTCGAAACGGGTATATCTTCACATGACATCTAGACAGAAGCTTTCTCAGAAAATTCTTTGGGATGATTGAGTGGAACTCACAGAGCTGAACATTCCTTGCGATGGAGCAGTTTAGAAACACACTTTCTGCAGAATCTGCAAGTGCATATTTGGACCTCTCTGAGGAATTCGTTGGAAACGGGATAATTTCAGCTGACTAAACAGAAGCATTCTCAGAACCTTCTTCGTGATGTCTGCATTCAACTCACAGTGTGGAACCTTTCTTTGATAGTTCAGGTTTGAAACACTCTTTTTGTAGAAACTGCAAGGGGATAATTGCACTTCTTTGAGGCCTACCGTAGTAAAGGAAATAACTTCCTATAAAAAGAAGACAGAAGCATTCTCAGAACCCTCTTCGTGATGTTTGCATTCAACTCACAGTGCTGAGCCTTTCTTCGATAGTTCAGCTTTGAAACACTCTTTTTGTAGAAACTGCAAGTGGATATTTGGTCCTCTCTGAGGATTTCGTTGGAACAGGGATAAACCGCACAGAACTAAACAGAAGAATTCTCAGAGCCCTCTTCGTGATGTTTGCATTCAACTCACAGTGCTGAACCTTTCTTTGATAGTGCAGCTTTGAAACACTCTTTTTGTAGAAACTGCAAGTGGATGTTTGGTCCTCTCTGAGGATTTCGTTGGAAACGGGATAAACCGCACAGAACTAAAACAGAAGCATTGTCAGAAACTTCTTTGTGATGATTGCATTCAACTCACAGAGTTGAAGGTTCCTTTTCAAACAGCAGTTTCCAATCACTCTTTCTGTGGAATCTGCAAGTGGATATTTGGGCCTCTCTGAGGATTTCGTTGGAAACGGGATAAAACGCACAGAACTAAAACAGAAGCATTCTCAGAAACTTCTCTGTGATGTTTGTGTTCAACTCCCAGAGTTTCACGTTGCTTTTCATAGAGTAGTTCTGAAACATGCTTTTCGTAGTGTCTGCAAGTGGACATTTGGAGCGCTTTCAGGCCTGTGGTGGAAAACGAATTATGGTCACATAAAAACTGGAGAGAAGCCTTCTCAGAAACTTCTCTGTGATGATTGCATTCAACTCACAGAGTTGAACCCTCCTATGGATAGAGCAGTGTTGAAACTCTCTTTTTGTGGAATCTGCAAGTGGATATGTGGACCTCTCCGAAGATGTCTTTGGAAACGGGAATATCTTCACATAAAAACTAAACAGAAGCATTCTCAGAAACATCTTGGTGATGTTTGCATTCAAATCCCAGAGTTGAACCTTCCTTTGATAGTTCAGGTTTGAAACACTCTTTTTGTAGGATCTGCAAGTGGATATTTGGACCACTCTGTGGCCTTCGTTCGAAACAGGGTACATCTTCGCATAAAATCTAGACAGAAGCATTCTCAGGAAATACTTTGTGATGATTGAGTTGAACTCACAGAGCTGAACATTCCTTTGGATGGAGCAGGTTTGAGACACACTTTTTGTAGAATCTACAAGTGGATATTTGGACCTCTCTGAGGATTTCGTTGGAAACGGGATAACTGCACCTAACTAAACGGAAGCATTCTCAGAAACTGCTTTGTGATGATTGCATTCACCTCACAGAGTTGAACATTCCTATTGATAGAGCAGTTTGGAAACACTCTTGTTGTGGAATGTGCAAGTGGAGATTTGGAGCGCTTTGAGGCCTATGGTAGTAAAGGGAATAGCTTCATAGAAAAACTAGACAGATGCATTCTCAGGAACTTTTTGGTGATGTTTGTATTCAACTCCCAGAGTTGAACTTTCCTTTGGAAAGAGCAGCTATGAAACACTCTTTTTCTAGAATCTGCAAGTGGACAGTTTGGAGGGCTTTGTGGTTTGTGGTGGAAAAGGAAATATCTTCACCTAAATACTAGATAGAAGCATTCTCAGAAGCTTCTCTGTGATGACTGCATTCAACTCACGGAGTTGAACACTCCTTTTGAGAGCGCAGTTTTGAAACTCTCTTTCTGTGGCATCTGCAAGGGGACATGTAGACCTCTTTGAAGATTTCATTGGAAACGGAATCATCTTCACATAAAAACTATACAGAAGCAGTCTCAGAATCTTCTTTGTGATGTTTGCATTCAAATCCCAGAGTTGAACTTTCCTTTCAAAGTTCACGTTTGAAACACTCTTTTTGCAGGATCTACAAGTGGATATTTGGACCACTCTGTGTCCTTCGTTCGAAACGGGTATATCTTCACACGACATCTAGACAGAAGCTTTCTCAGAAAATTCTTTGGGATGATTGAGTGGAACTCACAGAGCTGAACATTCCTTGCGATGGAGCAGTTTAGAAACACACTTTCTGCAGAATCTGCAAGTGCATATTTGGACCTCTCTGAGGAATTCGTTGGAAACGGGATAATTTCAGCTGACTAAACAGAAGCATTCTCAGAACCTTCTTCGTGATGTCTGCATTCAACTCACAGTGTGGAACCTTTCTTTGATAGTTCAGGTTTGAAACACTCTTTTTGTAGAAACTGCAAGGGGATAATTGCACTTCTTTGAGGCCTACCGTAGTAAAGGAAATAACTTCCTATAGAAAGAAGACAGAAGCATTCTCAGAACCCTCTTCGTGATGTTTGCATTCAACTCACAGTGCTGAACCTTTCTTTGATAGTTCAGCTTTGAAACACTCTTCTTGTAGAAACTGCAAGTGGATATTTGGTCCTCTCTGAGGATTTCTTTGGAAACGGGATAAACCGCACAGAACTAAACAGAAGCATTCTCTGAACTTTCTTCGTGATGTTTGCATTCAACTCACAGTGTTGAACCTTCCTTTGATAGTTCAGGTTTGAAACGGTCTTTCTGTAGAAACTGCAAGTAGATATTTGGACCTCTCTGAGGATTTCGTTGGAAACGGGATAAACCGCACAGAACTAAAACAGAAGCATTCACAGAAAACTCTTGGTGACGACTGAGTTTAACTCACAGAGCTGAACATTCCTTTGGATGGAGCAGTTTCGAAACACACTATTTGTAGAATGTGCAAGTGGATATTTGGGCCTCTCTGAGGATTTCGTTGGAAACGGGATAAACCGCACAGAACTAAACAGAAGCATTCTCAGAAACTACTTTGTGATGATTGCATTCAAGTCACAGAGTTGAACATTCCCTTTGACAGAGCAGTTTGGAAACTCTCTTTGTGTAGAATCTGCAAGTGGAGATATGGACCGCTTTGAGGCCTATGGTAGTAAAGGAAATAGCTTCATATAAAAGCTAGACAGTAGCATTCTCAGAAACTTCTTTGTGATGCTTGCATTCAACTCACTGAGTTGAACTTTCCTTTCGAGAGAGAAGCTTTGAAACACTCTTTTTCCAGAATCTGCAAGTGGACATTCGGAGGGCTTTGAGGCCTGTGGTGGAAAAGGAATTTTCTTCCCGTAAAAGCTAGATAGAAGCATTGTCAGAAACTTCTTTGTGATGATTGCATTCAAGTCACAGAGTTGAAGGTTCCTTTTCAAAGAGCAGTTTCCAATCACTCTTTCTGTGGAATCTGCAAGTGGATATTTGGACCTCTTTGAAGATTTCGTTGGAAACGGGAGAATCTTCACAGAAAAGCTAAACAGAAGCATTCTCAGAAACTTCTCTGTGATGTTTGTGTTCAACTCCCAGAGTTTCACATTGCTTTTCATAGAGTAGTTCTGAAACATGCTTTTCGTAGTGTCTACAAGTGGACATTTGGAGCGCTTTCAGGCCTGTGGTGGAAAACGAATTATGGTCACATAAAAACTGGAGAGAAGCCTTCTCAGAAACTTCTCTGTGATGATTGCATTCAACTCACAGAGTTGAACCCTCCTATGGATAGAGCAGTGTTGAAACTCTCTTTTTGTGGAATCTGCAAGTGGATATGTGGACCTCTCCGAAGATGTCTTTGGAAACGGGAATATCTTCACATAAAAACTAAACAGAAGCATTCTCAGAAACTTCTTGGTGATGTTTGCATTCAAATCCCAGAGTTGAACCTTCCTTTGATAGTTCAGGTTTGAAACACTCTTTTTGTAGGATCTGCAAGTGGATATTTGGACCACTCTGTGGCCTTCGTTCGAAACGGGTATATCTTCGCATAAAATCTAGACAGAAGCATTCTCAGAAAATACTTTGTGATGATTGAGTTTAACTCACAGAGCTGAACATTCCTTTGGATGGAGCAGGTTTGAGACACACTTTTTGTAGAATCTACAAGTGGATATTTGGACCTCTCTGAGGATTTCGTTGGAAACGGGATAACTGCACCTAACTAAACGGAAGCATTCTCAGAAACTGCTTTGTGATGATTGCATTCACCTCACAGAGTTGAACATTCCTATTGATAGAGCAGTTTGGAAACACTCTTGTTGTGGAATGTGCAAGTGGAGATTTGGAGCGCTTTGAGGCCTATGGTAGTAAAGGGAATAGCTTCATAGAAAAACTAGACAGATGCATTCTCAGGAACTTTTTGGTGATGTTTGTATTCAACTCCCAGAGTTGAACTTTCCTTTGGAAAGAGCAGCTATGAAACACTGTTTTTCTAGAATCTGCAAGTGGACGTTTGGAGGGCTTTGTGGTTTGTGGTGGAAAAGGAAATATCTTCACCTAAATACTAGATAGAAGCATTCTCAGAAGCTTCTCTGTGATGACTGCATTCAACTCACGGAGTTGAACACTCCTTTTGAGAGCGCAGTTTTGAAACTCTCTTTCTGTGGCATCTGCAAGGGGACATGTAGACCTCTTTGAAGATTTCGTTGGAAACGGAATCATCTTCACATAAAAACTATACAGAAGCAGTCTCATAATCTTCTTTGTGATGTTTGCATTCAAATCCCAGAGTTGAACTTTCCTTTCAAAGTTCACGTTTGAAACACTCTTTTTGCAGGATCTACAAGTGGATATTTGGACCACTCTGTGTCTTTCGTTCGAAACGGGTATATCTTCACATGACATCTAGACAGAAGCTTTCTCAGAAAATTCTTTGGGATGATTGAGTGGAACTCACAGAGCTGAACATTCCTTGCGATGTAGCAGTTTAGAAACACACTTTCTGCAGAATCTGCAAGTGCATATTTGGACCTCTCTGAGGAATTCGTTGGAAACGGGATAATTTCAGCTGACTAAACAGAAGCATTCTCAGAACTTCTTCGTGATGTCTGCATTCAACTCACAGTGTGGAACCTTTCTTTGATAGTTCAGGTTTGAAACACTCTTTTTGTAGAAACTGCAAGGGGATAATTGCACTTCTTTGAGGCCTACCGTAGTAAAGGAAATAACTTCCTATAGAAAGAAGACAGAAGCATTCTCAGAACCCTCTTCGTGATGTTTGCATTCAACTCACAGTGCTGAACCTTTCTTTGATAGTTCAGCTTTGAAACACTCTTCTTGTAGAAACTGCAAGTGGATATTTGGTCCTCTCTGAGGATTTCGTTGGAAACGGGATAAACCGCACAGAACTAAACAGAAGCATTCTCAGAGCCCTCTTCGTGATGTTTGCATTCAACTCACAGTGCTGAACCTTTCTTTGATAGTGCAGCTTTGAAACACTCTTTTTGTAGAAAGTGCAAGTGGATGTTTGGTCCTCTCTGAGGATTTCGTTGGAAACGGGATAAACCGCACAGAACTAAAACAGAAGCATTGTCAGAAACTTCTTTGTGATGATTGCATTCAACTCACAGAGTTGAAGGTTCCTTTTCAAACAGCAGTTTCCAATCACTCTTTCTGTGGAATCTGCAAGTGGATATTTGGGCCTCTCTGAGGATTTCGTTGGAAACGGGATAAAACGCACAGAACTAAAACAGAAGCATTCTCAGAAACTTCTCTGTGATGTTTGTGTTCAACTCCCAGAGTTTCACGTTGCTTTTCATAGAGTAGTTCTGAAACATGCTTTTCGTAGTGTCTGCAAGTGGACATTTGGAGCGCTTTCAGGCCTGTGGTGGAAAACGAATTATGGTCACATAAAAACTGGAGAGAAGCCTTCTCAGAAACTTCTCTGTGATGATTGCATTCAACTCACAGAGTTGAACCCTCCTATGGATAGAGAAGTGTTGAAACTCTCTTTTTGTGGAATCTGCAAGTGGATATGTGGACCTCTCCGAAGATGTCTTTGGAAACGGGAATATCTTCACATAAAAACTAAACAGAAGCATTCTCAGAAACTTCTTGGTGATGTTTGCATTCAAATCCCAGAGTTGAACCTTCCTTTGATAGTTCAGGTTTGAAACACTCTTTTTGTAGGATCTGCAAGTGGATATTTGGACCACTCTGTGGCCTTCGTTCAAAACGGGTACATCTTTGCATTATATCTAGACAGAAGCATTCTCAGAAAATACTTTGTGATGATTGAGTTGAACTCACAGAGGTGAACATTCCTTTGGATGGAGCAGGTTTGAGACACACTTTTTGTAGAATCTACAAGTGGATATTTGGACCTCTCTGAGGATTTCGTTGGAAACGGGATAACTGCACCTAACTAAACGGAAGCATTCTCAGAAACTGCTTTGTGATGATTGCATTCACCTCACAGAGTTGAACATTCCTATTGATAGAGCAGTTTGAAAACACTCTTGTTGTGGAATGTGCAAGTGGAGATTTGGAGCGCTTTGAGGCCTATGGTAGTAAAGGGAATAGCTTCATAGAAAAACTAGACAGATGCATTCTCAGGAACTTTTTGGTGATGTTTGTATTCAACTCCCAGAGTTGAACTTTCCTTTGGAAAGAGCAGCTATGAAACACTCTTTTTCTAGAATCTGCAAGTGGACGTTTGGAGGGCTTTGTGGTTTGTGGTGGAAAAGGAAATATCTTCACCTAAATACTAGATAGAAGCATTCTCAGAAGCTTCTCTGTGATGACTGCATTCAACTCACAGAGTTGAACACTCCTTTTGAGAGCGCAGTTTTGAAACTCTCTTTCTGTGGCATCTGCAAGGGGACATGTAGACCTCTTTGAGGATTTCGTTGGAAACGGAATCATCTTCACATAAAAACTATACAGAAGCAGTCTCAGAATCTTCTTTGTGATGTTTGCATTCAAATCCCAGAGTTGAACTTTCCTTTCAAAGTTCACGTTTGAAACACTCTTTTTGCAGGATCTACAAGTGGATATTTGGACCACTCTGTGTCCTTCGTTCGAAACGGGTATATCTTCACATGACATCTAGACAGAAGCTTTCTCAGAAAATTCTTTGGGATGATTGAGTGGAACTCACAGAGCTGAACATTCCTTGCGATGTAGCAGTTTAGAAACACACTTTCTGCAGAATCTGCAAGTGCATATTTGGACCTCTCTGAGGAATTCGTTGGAAACGGGATAATTTCAGCTGACTAAACAGAAGCATTCTCAGAACCTTCTTCGTGATGTCTGCATTCAACTCACAGTGTGGAACCTTTCTTTGATAGTTCAGGTTTGAAACACTCTTTTTGTAGAAACTGCAAGGGGATAATTGCACTTCTTTGAGGCCTACCGTAGTCAAGGAAATAACTTCCTATAGAAAGAAGACAGAAGCATTCTCAGAACCCTCTTCGTGATGTTTGCATTCAACTCACAGTGCTGAACCTTTCTTTGATAGTTCAGCTTTGAAACACTCTTCTTGTAGAAACTGCAAGTGGATATTTGGTCCTCTCTGAGGATTTCGTTGGAAACGGGATAAACCGCACAGAACTAAACAGAAGCATTCTCAGAGCCCTCTTCGTGATGTTTGCATTCAACTCACAGTGCTGAACCTTTCTTTGATAGTGCAGCTTTGAAACACTCTTTTTGTAGAAACTGCAAGTGGATGTTTGGTCCTCTCTGAGGATTTCGTTGGAAACGGGATAAACCGCACAGAACTAAAACAGAAGCATTGTCAGAAACTTCTTTGTGATGATTGCATTCAACTCACAGAGTTGAAGGTTCCTTTTCAAACAGCAGTTTCCAATCACTCTTTCTGTGGAATCTGCAAGTGGATATTTGGGCCTCTCTGAGGATTTCGTTGGAAACGGGATAAAACGCACAGAACTAAAACAGAAGCATTCTCAGAAACTTCTCTGTGATGTTTGTGTTCAACTCCCAGAGTTTCACATTGCTTTTCATAGAGTAGTTCTGAAACATGCTTTTCGTAGTGTCTACAAGTGGACATTTGGAGCGCTTTCAGGCCTGTGGTGGAAAACGAATTATGGTCACATAAAAACTGGAGAGAAGCCTTCTCAGAAACTTCTCTGTGATGATTGCATTCAACTCACAGAGTTGAACCCTCCTATGGATAGAGCAGTGTTGAAACTCTCTTTTTGTGGAATCTGCAAGTGGATACGTGGACCTCTCCGAAGATGTCTTTGGAAACGGGAATATCTTCACATAAAAACTAAACAGAAGCATTCTCAGAAACTTCTTGGTGATGTTTGCATTCAAATCCCAGAGTTGAACCTTCCTTTGATAGTTCAGGTTTGAAACACTCTTTTTGTAGGATCTGCAAGTGGATATTTGGACCACTCTGTGGCCTTCGTTCGAAACGGGTATATCTTCGCATAAAATCTAGACAGAAGCATTCTCAGAAAATACTTTGTGATGATTGAGTTTAACTCACAGAGCTGAACATTCCTTTGGATGGAGCAGGTTTGAGACACACTTTTTGTAGAATCTACAAGTGGATATTTGGACCTCTCTGAGGATTTCGTTGGAAACGGGATAACTGCACCTAACTAAACGGAAGCATTCTCAGAAACTGCTTTGTGATGATTGCATTCACCTCACAGAGTTGAACATTCCTATTGATAGAGCAGTTTGGAAACACTCTTCTTGTGGAATGTGCAAGTGGAGATTTGGAGCGCTTTGAGGTCTATGGTAGTAAAGGGAATAGCTTCATAGAAAAACTAGACAGATGCATTCTCAGGAACTTTTTGGTGATGTTTGTATTCAACTCCCAGAGTTGAACTTTCCTTTGGAAAGAGCAGCTATGAAACACTCTTTTTCTAGAATCTGCAAGTGGACGTTTGGAGGGCTTTGTGGTTTGTGGTGGAAAAGGAAATATCTTCACCTAAATACTAGATAGAAGCATTCTCAGAAGCTTCTCTGTGATGACTGCAATCAACTCACGGAGTTGAACACTCCTTTTGAGAGCGCAGTTTTGAAACTCTCTTTCTGTGGCATCTGCAAAGGGACATGTAGACCTCTTTGAAGATTTCGTTGGAAACGGAATCATCTTCACATAAAAACTATACAGAAGCAGTCTCAGAATCTTCTTTGTGATGTTTGCATTCAAATCCCAGAGTTGAACTTTCCTTTCAAAGTTCACGTTTGAAACACTCTTTTTGCAGGATCTACAAGTGGATATTTGGACCACTCTGTGTCCTTCGTTCGAAACGGGTATATCTTCACAGGACATCTAGACAGAAGCTTTCTCAGAAAATTCTTTGGGATGATTGAGTGGAACTCACAGAGCTGAACATTCCTTGCGATGTAGCAGTTTAGAAACACACTTTCTGCAGAATCTGCAAGTGCATATTTGGACCTCTCTGAGGAATTCGTTGGAAACGGGATAATTTCAGCTGACTAAACAGAAGCATTCTCAGAACCTTCTTCGTGATGTCTGCATTCAACTCACAGTGTGGAACCTTTCTTTGATAGTTCAGGTTTGAAACACTCTTTTTGTAGAAACTGCAAGGGGATAATTGCACTTCTTTGAGGCCTACCGTAGTAAAGGAAATAACTTCCTATAGAAAGAAGACAGAAGCATTCTCAGAACCCTCTTCGTGATGTTTGCATTCAACTCACAGCGATGAAACTTTCTTTGATAGTTCAGCTTTGAAACACTCTTCTTGTAGAAACTGCAAGTGGATATTTGGTCCTCTCTGAGGATTTCGTTGGAAACGGGATAAACCGCACAGAACTAAACAGAAGCATTCTCAGAACCTTCTTCGTGATATTTGCATTCAACTCACACTGCTGAACCTTTCTTTGATAGTTCAGCTTTGAAACACTCTTTTTGTAGAAACTGCAAGTGGATATTTGGTCCTCTCTGAGGATTTCGTTGGAAACGGGATAAACCGCACAGAACTAAACAGAAGCATTCACAGAAAACGCTTGGTGACGACTGAGTTTAACTCACAGAGCTGAACATTCCTTTGGATGGAGCAGTTTCGAAACACACTATTTGTAGAATCTGCAAGTGGATATTTGGGCCTCTCTGAGGATTTCGTTGGAATCGGGATAAACCGCACAGAACTAAAACAGAAGCATTCTCAGAAACTACTTTGTGATGATTGCATTCAAGTCACAGAGTTGAACATTCCCTTTGACAGAGCAGTTTGGAAACTCTCTTTGTGTAGAATCTGCAAGTGGAGATATGGACCGCTTTGAGGCCTATGGTAGTAAAGGAAATAGCTTCATATAAAAGCTAGACAGTAGCATTCTCAGAAACTTCTTTGTGATGCTTGCATTCA
Organism: Homo sapiens; assembly: GCF_000001405.40. Classification (NCBI taxonomy): domain Eukaryota; kingdom Metazoa; phylum Chordata; class Mammalia; order Primates; family Hominidae; genus Homo; species Homo sapiens. The sequence goes on from NC_000017.11 coordinate 25,811,588, forward strand.
ACTCACAGAGTTGAACATTCCTTTCGAGAGAGAAGCTTTGAAACACTCTTTTTCCAGAATCTGCAAGGGGACATTTGGAGGGCTTTGAGGCCTGTGGTGGAAAAGGAATTACCTTCCCGTAAAAGCTAGATAGAAGCATTGTCAGAAACTTCTTTGTGATGATTGCATTCAACTCACAGAGTTGAAGGTTCCTTTTCAAACAGCAGTTTCCAAACACTCTTTCTGTGGAATCTGCAAGTGGATATTTGGACGTCTTTGAAGATTTCGTTGGAAAAGGGATAATCTTCACAGAAAAGCTAAACAGAAGCATTCTCAGAAACTTCTCTGTGATGTTTGTGTTCAACTCCCAGAGTTTCACGTTGCTTTTCATAGAGTAGTTCTGAAACATGCTTTTCGTAGTGTCTGCAAGTGGACATTTGGAGCGCTTTCAGGCCTGTGGTGGAAAACGAATTATGGTCACAAAAAAACTGGAGAGAAGCCTTCTCAGAAACTTCTCTGTGATGATTGCATTCAACTCACAGAGTTGAACCCTCCTATGGATAGAGCAGTGTTGAAACTCTCTTTTTGTGGAACCTGCAAGTGGATATGTGGACCTCTCCGAAGATGTCTTTGGAAACGGGAATATCTTCACATAAAAACTAAACAGAAGCATTCTCAGAAACTTCTTGGTGATGTTTGCATTCAAATCCCAGAGTTGAAACTTCCTTTGAGAGTTCAGGTTTGAAACACTCTTTTTGTAGGATCTGCAAGTGGATATTTGGACCACTCTGTGGCCTTCGTTCGAAACGGGTACATCTTCGCATAAAATCTACACAGAAGCATTCTCAGAAAATACTTTGTGATGATTGAGTTGAACTCACAGAGCTGAACATTCCTTTGGATGGAGCAGGTTTGAGACACACTTTTTATAGAATCTACAAGGGGATATTTGGACCTCTCTGAGGATTTCGTTGGAAAACGGGTAACTGCACCTAACTAAACGGAAGCATTCTCAGAAACTGCTTTGTGATGATTGCATTCACCTCACAGAGTTGAACATTCCTATTGATAGAGCAGTTTGGAAACACTCTTCTTGTGGAATGTGCAAGTGGAGATTTGGAGCGCTTTGAGGCCTATGGTAGTAAAGGGAATAGCTTCATAGAAAAACTAGACAGATGCATTCTCAGGAACTTTTTGGTGATGTTTGTATTCAACTCCCAGAGTTGAACTTTCCTTTGGAAAGAGCAGCTATGAAACACTCTTTTTCTAGAATCTGCAAGTGGACGTTTGGAGGGCTTTGTGGTTTGTGGTGGAAAAGGAAATATCTTCACCTAAATACTAGAAAGAAGCATTCTCAGAAGCTTCTCTGTGATGACTGCATTCAACTCACGGAGTTGAACACTCCTTTTGAGAGCGCAGTTTTGAAACTCTCTTTCTGTGGCATCTGCAAGGGACATGTAGACCTCTTTGAAGATTTCGTTGGAAACGGAATCATCTTCACATAAAAACTATACAGAAGCAGTCTCAGAATCTTCTTTGTGATGTTTGCATTCAAATCCCAGAGTTGAACTTTCCTTTCAAAGTTCACGTTTGAAACACTCTTTTTGCAGGATCTACAAGTGGATATTTGGACCACTCTGTGTCCTTCGTTCGAAACGGGTATATCTTCACAGGACATCTAGACAGAAGCTTTCTCAGAAAATTCTTTGGGATGATTGAGTGGAACTCACAGAGCTGAACATTCCTTGCGATGTAGCAGTTTAGAAACACACTTTCTGCAGAATCTGCAAGTGCATATTTGGACCTCTCTGAGGAATTCGTTGGAAACGGGATAATTTCAGCTGACTAAACAGAAGCATTCTCAGAACCTTCTTCGTGATGTCTGCATTCAACTCACAGTGTGGAACCTTTCTTTGATAGTTCAGGTTTGAAACACTCTTTTTGTAGAAACTGCAAGGGGATAATTGCACTTCTTTGAGGCCTACCGTAGTAAAGGAAATAACTTCCTATAGAAAGAAGACAGAAGCATTCTCAGAACCCTCTTCGTGATGTTTGCATTCAACTCACAGTGCTGAACCTTTCTTTGATAGTTCAGCTTTGAAACACTCTTCTTGTAGAAACTGCAAGTGGATATTTTGTCCTCTCTGAGGATTTCGTTGGAAACGGGATAAACCGCACAGAACTAAACAGAAGAATTCTCAGAGCCCTCTTCGTGATGTTTGCATTCAACTCACAGTGCTGAACCTTTCTTTGATAGTGCAGCTTTGAAACACTCTTCTTGTAGAAACTGCAAGTGGATGTTTGGTCCTCTCTGAGGATTTCGTTGGAAACGGGATAAACCGCACAGAACTAAAACAGAAGCATTGTCAGAAACTTCTTTGTGATGATTGCATTCAACTCACAGAGTTGAAGGTTCCTTTTCAAACAGCAGTTTCCAATCACTCTTTCTGTGGAATCTGCAAGTGGATATTTGGGCCTCTCTGAGGATTTCGTTGGAAACGGGATAAAACGCACAGAACTAAAACAGAAGCATTCTCAGAAACTTCTCTGTGATGTTTGTGTTCAACTCCCAGAGTTTCACGTTGCTTTTCATAGAGTAGTTCTGAAACATGCTTTTCGTAGTGTCTGCAAGTGGACATTTGGAGCGCTTTCAGGCCTGTGGTGGAAAACGAATTATGGTCACATAAAAACTGGAGAGAAGCCTTCTCAGAAACTTCTCTGTGATGATTGCATTCAACTCACAGAGTTGAACCCTCCTATGGATAGAGCAGTGTTGAAACTCTCTTTTTGTGGAATCTGCAAGTGGATATGTGGACCTCTCCGAAGATGTCTTTGGAAACGGGAATATCTTCACATAAAAACTAAACAGAAGCATTCTCAGAAACTTCTTGGTGATGTTTGCATTCAAATCCCAGAGTTGAACCTTCCTTTGATAGTTCAGGTTTGAAACACTCTTTTTGTAGGATCTGCAAGTGGATATTTGGACCACACTGTGGCCTTTGTTCGAAACGGGTACATCTTCGCATAAAATCTAGACAGAAGCATTCTCAGAAAATACTTTGTGATGATTGAGTTGAACTCACAGAGCTGAACATTCCTTTGGATGGAGCAGGTTTGAGACACACTTTTTGTAGAATCTACAAGTGGATATTTGGACCTCTCTGAGGATTTCGTTGGAAACGGGATAACTGCACCTAACTAAACGGAAGCATTCTCAGAAACTGCTTTGTGATGATTGCATTCACCTCACAGAGTTGAACATTCCTATTGATAGAGCAGTTTGGAAACAATCTTGTTGTGGAATGTGCAAGTGGAGATTTGGAGCGCTTTGAGGCCTATGGTAGTAAAGGGAATAGCTTCATAGAAAAACTAGACAGATGCATTCTCAGGTAACTTTTTGGTGATGTTTGTATTCAACTCCCAGAGTTGAACTTTCCTTTGGAAAGAGCAGCTATGAAACACTCTTTTTCTAGAATCTGCAAGTGGACGTTTGGAGGGCTTTGTGGTTTGTGGTGGAAAAGGAAATATCTTCACCTAAATACTAGATAGAAGCATTCTCAGAAGCTTCTCTGTGATGACTGCATTCAACTCACGGAGTTGAACACTCCTTTTGAGAGCGCAGTTTTGAAACTCTCTTTCTGTGGCATCTGCAAGGGGACATGTAGACCTCTTTGAATATTTCGTAGGAAACGGAATCATCTTCACATAAAAACTATACAGAAGCAGTCTCAGAATCTTCTTTGTGATGTTTGCATTCAAATCCCAGAGTTGAACTTTCCTTTCAAAGTTCACGTTTGAAACACTCTTTTTGCAGGATCTACAAGTGGATATTTGGACCACTCTGTGTCCTTCGTTCGAAACGGGTATATCTTCACATGACATCTAGACAGAAGCTTTCTCAGAAAATTCTTTGGGATGATTGAGTGGAACTCACAGAGCTGAACATTCCTTGCGATGTAGCAGTTTAGAAACACACTTTCTGCAGAATCTGCAAGTGCATATTTGGACCTCTCTGAGGAATTCGTTGGAAACGGGATAATTTCAGCTGACTAAACAGAAGCATTCTCAGACACCCTTCTTCGTGATGTCTGCATTCAACTCACAGTGTGGAACCTTTCTTTGATAGTTCAGGTTTGAAACACTCTTTTTGTAGAAACTGCAAGGGGATAATTGCACTTCTTTGAGGCCTACCGTAGTAAAGGAAATAACTTCCTATAGAAAGAAGACAGAAGAATTCTCAGAGCCCTCTTCGTGGTGTTTGCATTCAACTCACAGTGCTGAACCTTTCTTTGATAGTGCAGCTTTGAAACACTCTTTTTGTAGAAACTGCAAGTGGATATTTGGTCCTCTCTGAGGATTTCGTTGGAAACGGGATAAACCGCACAGAACTAAAACAGAAGCATTCACAGAAAACTCTTGGTGACGACTGAGTTTAACTCACAGAGCTGAACATTCCTTTGGATGGAGCAGTTTCGAAACACACTATTTGTAGAATCTGCAAGTGGATATTTGGGCCTCTCTGAGGATTTCGTTGGAAACGGGATAAAACGCACAGAACTAAAACAGAAGCATTCTCAGAAACTACTTTGTGATGATTGCATTCAAGTCACAGAGTTGAACATTCCCTTTGACAGAGCAGTTTGGAAACTCTCTTTGTGTAGAATCTGCAAGTGGAGATATGGACCGCTTTGAGGCCTATGGTAGTAAAGGAAATAGCTTCATATAAAAGCTAGACAGTAGCATTCTCAGAAACTTCTTTGTGATGCTTGCATTCAACTCACAGAGTTGAACTTTCCTTTCGAGAGAGAAGCTTTGAAACACTCTTTTCTAGAATCTGCAAGTGGACATTTGGAGGGCATTGAGGCCTGTGGTGGAAAAGGAATTATCTTCCCGTAAAAGCTAGATAGAAGCATTGTCAGAAACTTCTTTGTGATGATTGCATTCAACTCACAGAGTTGAAGGTTCCTTTTCAAAGAGCAGTTTCCAATCACTCTTTCTGTGGAATCTGCAAGTGGATATTTGGACCTCTTTGAAGATTTCGTTGGAAACGGGAGAATCTTCACAGAAAAGCTAAACAGAAGCATTCTCAGGAAACTTCTCTGTGATGTTTGTGTTCAACTCCCAGAGTTTCACATTGCTTTTCATAGAGTAGTTCTGAAACATGCTTTTCGTAGTGTCTACAAGTGGACATTTGGAGCGTTTTCAGGCCTGTGGTGGAAAACGAATTATGGTCACATAAAAACTGGAGAGAAGCCTTCTCAGAAACTTCTCTGTGATGATTGCATTCAACTCACAGAGTTGAACCCTCCTATGGATAGAGCAGTGTTGAAACTCTCTTTTTGTGGAATCTGCAAGTGGATATGTGGACCTCTCCGAAGATGTCTTTGGAAACGGGAATATCTTCACATAAAAACTAAACAGAAGCATTCTCAGAAACTTCTTGGTGATGTTTGCATTCAAATCCCAGAGTTGAACCTTCCTTTGATAGTTCAGGTTTGAAACACTCTTTTTGTAGGATCTGCAAGTGGATATTTGGACCACTCTGTGGCCTTCGTTCGAAACGGGTATATCTTCGCATAAAATCTAGACAGAAGCATTCTCAGAAAATACTTTGTGATGATTGAGTTTAACTCACAGAGCTGAACATTCCTTTGGATGGAGCAGGTTTGAGACACACTTTTTGTAGAATCTACAAGTGGATATTTGGACCTCTCTGAGGATTTCGTTGGAAACGCGATAACTGCACCTAACTAAACGGAAGCATTCTCAGAAACTGCTTTGTGATGATTGCATTCACCTCACAGAGTTGAACATTCCTATTGATAGAGCAGTTTGGAAACACTCTTGTTGTGGAATGTGCAAGTGGAGATTTGGAGCGCTTTGAGGCCTATGGTAGTAAAGGGAATAGCTTCATAGAAAAACTAGGCAGATGCATTCTCAGGAACTTTTTGGTGATGTTTGTATTCAACTCCCAGAGTTGAACTTTCCTTTGGAAAGAGCAGCTATGAAACACTCTTTTTCTAGAATCTGCAAGTGGACGTTTGGAGGGCTTTGTGGTTTGTGGTGGAAAAAGAAATATCTTCACCTAAATACTAGATAGAAGCATTCTCAGAAGCTTCTCTGTGATGACTGCATTCAACTCACGGAGTTGAACACTCCTTTTGAGAGCGCAGTTTTGAAACTCTCTTTCTGTGGCATCTGCAAGGGGACATGTAGACCTCTTTGAAGATTTCGTTGGAAACGGAATCATCTTCACATAAAAACTATACAGAAGCAGTCTCAGAATCTTCTTTGTGATGTTTGCATTCAAATCCCAGAGTTGAACTTTCCTTTCAAAGTTCACGTTTGAAACACTCTTTTTGCAGGATCTACAACTGGATAATTGGACCACTCTGTGTCCTTCGTTCGAAACGGGTATATCTTCACATGACATCTAGACAGAAGCTTTCTCAGAAAATTCTTTGGGATGATTGAGTGGAACTCACAGAGCTGAACATTCCTTGCGATGGAGCAGTTTAGAAACACACTTTCTGCAGAATCTGCAAGTGCATATTTGGACCTCTCTGAGGAATTCGTTGGAAACGGGATAATTTCAGCTGACTAAACAGAAGCATTCTCAGAACCTTCTTCGTGATGTCTGCATTCAACTCACAGTGTGGAACCTTTCTTTGATAGTTCAGGTTTGAAACACTCTTTTTGTAGAAACTGCAAGGGGATAATTGCACTTCTTTGAGGCCTACCGTAGTAAAGGAAATAACTTCCTATAGAAAGAAGACAGAAGCATTCTCAGAACCCTCTTCGTGATGTTTGCATTCAACTCACAGTGCTGAACCTTTCTTTGATAGTTCAGCTTTGAAACACTCTTCTTGTAGAAACTGCAAGTGGATATTTGGTCCTCTCTGAGGATTTCGTTGGAAACGGGATAAACCGCCCAGAACTAAACAGAAGCATTCTCAGAACCTTCTTCGTGATGTTTGCATTCAACTCACAGTGTTGAACCTTTCTTTGATAGTTCAGGTTTGAAACGGTCTTTCTGTGGAAACTGCAAGTAGATATTTGGACCTCTCTGAGGATTTCGTTGGAAACGGGATAAACCGCACAGAACTAAAACAGAAGCATTCACAGAAAACTCTTGGTGACGACTGAGTTTAACTCACAGAGCTGAACATTCCTTTGGATGGAGCAGTTTCGAAACACACTATTTCTAGAAGGTGCAAGTGGATATGTGGGCCTCTCTGAGGATTTCGTTGGAAACGGGATAAACCGCACAGAACTAAACAGAAGCATTCTCAGAAACTACTTTGTGATGATTGCATTCAAGTCACAGAGTTGAACATTCCCTTTGACAGAGCAGTTTGGAAACTCTCTTTGTGTAGAATCTGCAAGTGGAGATATGGACCGCTTTGAGGCCTATGGTAGTAAAGGAAATAGCTTCATATAAAAGCTAGACAGTAGCATTCTCAGAAACTTCTTTGTGATGCTTGCATTCAACTCACAGAGTTGAACTTTCCTTTCGAGAGAGAAGCTTTGAAACACTCTTTTTCCAGAATCTGCAAGTGGACATTTGGAGGGCTTTGGGGCCTGTGGTGGAAAAGGAATTATCTTCCCGTAAAAGCTAGATAGAAGCATTGTCAGAAACTTCTTTGTGATGATTGCATTCAACTCACAGAGTTGAAGGTTCCTTTTCAAAGAGCAGTTTCCAATCACTCTTTGTGTGGAATCTGCAAGTGGATATTTGGACCTATTTTGAAGATTTCGTTGGAAACGGGAGAATCTTCACAGGAAAGCTAAACAGAAGCATTCTCAGAAACTTCTCTGTGATGTTTGTGTTCAACTCCCAGAGTTTCACATTGCTTTTCATAGAGTAGTTCTGAAACATGCTTTTCGTAGTGTCTACAAGTGGACATTTGGAGCGCTTTCAGGCCTGTGGTGGAAAACGAATTATGGTCACATAAAAACTGGAGAGAAGCCTTCTCAGAAACTTCTCTGTGATGATTGCATTCAACTCACAGAGTTGAACCCTCCTATGGATAGAGCAGTGTTGAAACTCTCTTTTTGTGGAATCTGCAAGTGGATACGTGGACCTCTCCGAAGACGTCTTTCGAAACGGGAATATCTTCACATAAAAACTAAACAGAAGCATTCTCAGAAACTTCTTGGTGATGTTTGCATTCAAATCCCAGAGTTGAACCTTCCTTTGATAGTTCAGGTTTGAAACACTCTTTTTGTAGGATCTGCAAGTGGATATTTGGACCACTCTGTGGCCTTCGTTCGAAACGGGTATATCTTCGCATAAAATCTAGACAGAAGCATTCTCAGAAAATACTTTGTGATGATTGAGTTTAACTCACAGAGCTGAACATTCCTTTGGATGGAGCAGGTTTGAGACACACTTTTTGTAGAATCTACAAGTGGATATTTGGACCTCTCTGAGGATTTCGTTGGAAACGCGATAACTGCACCTAACTAAACGGAAGCATTCTCAGAAACTGCTTTGTGATGATTGCATTCACCTCACAGAGTTGAACATTCCTATTGATAGAGCAGTTTGGAAACACTCTTGTTGTGGAATGTGCAAGTGGAGATTTGGAGCGCTTTGAGGCCTATGGTAGTAAAGGGAATAGCTTCATAGAAAAACAAGGCAGATGCATTCTCAGGAACTTTTTGGTGATGTTTGTATTCAACTCCCAGAGTTGAACTTTCCTTTGGAAAGAGCAGCTATGAAACACTCTTTTTCTAGAATCTGCAAGTGGACGTTTGGAGGGCTTTGTGGTTTGTGGTGGAAAAGGAAATATCTTCACCTAAATACTAGATAGAAGCATTCTCAGAAGCTTCTCTGTGATGACTGCATTCAACTCACGGGGTTGAACACTCCTTTTGGGAGCGCAGTTTTGAAACTCTCTTTCTGTGGCATCTGCAAGGGGACATGTAGACCTCTTTGAAGATTTCGTTGGAAACGGAATCATCTTCACATAAAAACTATACAGAAGCAGTCTCAGAATCTTCTTTGTGATGTTTGCATTCAAATCCCAGAGTTGAACTTTCCTTTCAAAGTTCACGTTTGAAACACTCTTTTTGCAGGATCTACAAGTGGATATTTGGACCACTCTGAGTCCTTCGTTCGAAACGGGTATATCTTCACATGACATCTAGACAGAAGCTTTCTCAGAAAATTGTTTGGGATGATTGATTTGAACTCACAGAGCTGAGCATTCCTTGCGATGTAGCAGTTTAGAAACACACTTTCTGCAGAATCTGCAAGTGCATATTTGGACCTCTCTGAGGAATTCGTTGGAAACGGGATAATTTCAGCTGACTAAACAGAAGCATTCTCAGAACCTTCTTCGTGATGTCTGCATTCAACTCACAGTGTGGAACCTTTCTTTGATAGTTCAGGTTTGAAACACTCTTTTTGTAGAAACTGCAAGGGGATAATTGCACTCTTTGAGGAGTACTGTAGTAAAGGAAATAACTTCCTATAAAAAGAAGACAGAAGAATTCTCAGAGCCCTCTTCGTGATGTTTGCATTCAACTCACAGTGCTGAACCTTTCTTTGATAGTGCAGCTTTGAAACACTCTTTTTGTAGAAACTGCAAGTGGATGTTTGGTCCTCTCTGAGGATTTCGTTGGAAACGGGATAAACCGCACAGAACTAAAACAGAAGCATTGTCAGAAACTTCTTTGTGATGATTGCATTCAACTCACAGAGTTGAAGGTTCCTTTTCAAACAGCAGTTTCCAATCACTCTTTCTGTGGAATCTGCAAGTGGATATTTGGGCCTCTCTGAGGATTTCGTTGGAAACGGGATAAAACGCACAGAACTAAAACAGAAGCATTCTCAGAAACTTCTCTGTGATGTTTGTGTTCAACTCCCAGAGTTTCACATTGCTTTTCATAGAGTAGTTCTGAAACATGCTTTTCGTAGTGTCTGCAAGTGGACATTTGGAGCGCTTTCAGGCCTGTGGTGGAAAACGAATTAGGGTCACATAAAAACTGGAGAGAAGCCTTCTCAGAAACTTCTCTGTGATGATTGCATTCAACTCACAGAGTTGAACCCTCCTATGGATAGAGCAGTGTTGAAACTCTCTTTTTGTGGAATCTGCAAGTGGACATGTGGACCTCTCCGAAGATGTCTTTGGAAACGGGAATATCTTCACATAAAAACTAAACAGAAGCATTCTCAGAAACTTCTTGGTGATGTTTGCATTCAAATCCCAGAGTTGAACCTTCCTTTGATAGTTCAGGTTTGAAACACTCTTTCTGTAGGATCTGCAAGTGGCTATTTGGACCACTCTGTGGCCTTCGTTCGAAACGGGTATATCTTCGCATAAAATCTAGACAGAAGCATTCTCAGAAAATACTTTGTGATGATTGAGTTTAAATCACAGAGCTGACCATTCCTTTGGATGGAGCAGGTTTGAGACACACTTTTTGTAGAATCTACAAGTGGATATTTGGACCTCTCTGAGGATTTCGTTGGAAACGGGATAACTGCACCTAACTAAACGGAAGCATTCTCAGAAACTGCTTTGTGATGATTGCATTCACCTCACAGAGTTGAACATTCCTATTGATAGAGCAGTTTGGAAACACTCTTGTTGTGGAATGTGCAAGTGGAGATTTGGAGCGCTTTGAGGCCTATGGTAGTAAAGGGAATAGCTTCATAGAAAAACTAGACAGATGCATTCTCAGGAACTTTTTGGTGATGTTTGTATTCAACTCCCAGAGTTGAACTTTCCTTTGGAAAGAGCAGCTATGAAACACTCTTTTTCTAGAATCTGCAAGTGGACGTTTGGAGGGCTTTGTGGTTTGTGGTGGAAAAGGAAATATCTTCACCTAAATACTAGATAGAAGCATTCTCAGAAGCTTCTCTGTGATGACTGCATTCAACTCACGGAGTTGAACACTCCTTTTGAGAGCGCAGTTTTGAAACTCTCTTTCTGTGGCATCTGCAAGGGGACATGTAGACCTCTTTGAAGATTTCATTGGAAACGGAATCATCTTCACATCAAAACTATACAGAAGCAGTCTCAGAATCTTCTTTGTGATGTTTGCATTCAAATCCCAGAGTTGAACTTTCCTTTCCAAGTTCACGTTTGAAACACTCTTTTTGCAGGATCTGCAAGTGGATATTTGGACCACTCTGTGTCCTTCGTTCGAAACGGGTATATCTTCACATGACATCTAGACAGAAGCTTTCTCAGAAAATTCCTTGGGATGATTGAGTTGAGCAAACAGAGCTGAACACTCCTTGCGATGTAGCAGTTTAGAAACACACTTTCTGCAGAATCTGCAAGTGCATATGTGGACCTCTCTGAGGAAATCGTTGGAAACGGGATAATTTCAGCTGACTAAACAGAAGCATTCTCAGAACCTTCTTCGTGATGTCTGCATTCAACTCACAGTGTGGAACCTTTCTTTGATAGTTCAGGTTTGAAACACTCTTTTTGTAGAAACTGCAAGGGGATCATTGCACTTCTTTGAGGCCTACCGTAGTAAAGGAGATAACTTCCTATAAAAAGAAGACAGAAGCATTCTCAGAACCCTCTTCGTGATGTTTGCATTCAACTCACAGTGCTGAACCTTTCTTTGATAGTTCAGCTTTGAAACACTCTTCTTGTAGAAACTGCAAGTGGATATTTGGTCCTCTCTGAGGATTTCGTTGGAAACGGGATAAACCGCACAGAACTAAACAGAAGCATTCTCAGAACCTTCTTCGTGATGTTTGCATTCAACTCACAGTGTTGAACCTTTCTTTGATAGTTCATGTTGGAAACGGTCTTTCTGTAGAAACTGCAAGTAGATATTTGGACCTCTCTGAGGATTTCGTTGGAAACGGGATAAACCGCACAGAACTAAAACAGAAGCATTCACAGAAAATTCTTGGTGACGACTGAGTTCAACTCACAGAGCTGAACATTCCTTTGGATGGAGCAGTTTCGAAACACACTATTTGTAGAATGTGCAAGTGGATATTTGGGCCTCTCTGAGGATTTCGTTGGAAACGGGATAAACCGCACAGAACTAAACAGAAGCATTCTCAGAAACTACTTTGTGATGATTGCATTCAAGTCACAGAGTTGAACATTCCCTTTGACAGAGCAGTTTGGAAACTCTCTTTGTGTAGAATCTGCAAGTGGAGATATGGACCGCTTTGAGGCCTATGGTAGTAAAGGAAATAGCTTCATATAAAAGCTAGACAGTAGCATTCTCAGAAACTTCTTTGTGATGCTTGCATTCAACTCACAGAGTTGAACTTTCCTTTCGAGAGAGAAGCTTTGAAACACTCTTTTTCCAGAATCTGCAAGTGGACATTTGGAGGGCTTTGAGGCCTGTGGTGGAAAAGGAATTAACTTCCCGTAAAAGCTAGATAGAAGCATTGTCAGAAACTTCTTTGTGATGATTGCATTCAACTCACAGAGATGAAGGTTCCTTTACAAACAGCAGTTTCCAAACACTCTTTCTGTGGAATCTGCAAGTGGATATTTGGACCTCTTTGAAGATTTCGTTGGAAACGGGAGAATCTTCACAGAAAAGCGAAACAGAAGCATTCTCAGAAACTTCTCTGTGATGTTTGTGTTCAACTCCCAGAGTTTCACGTTGCTTTTCATAGAGTAGTTCTGAAACATGCTTTTCGTAGTGTCTGCAAGTGGACATTTGGAGCGCTTTCAGGCCTGTGGTGGAAAACGAATTATGGTCACATAAAAACTGGAGAGAAGCCTTCTCAGAAACTTCTCTGTGATGATTGCATTCAACTCACAGAGTTGAACCCTCCTATGGATAGAGCAGTGTTGAAACTCTCTTTTTGTGGAATCTGCAAGTGGATATGTGGACCTCTCCGAAGATGTCTTTGGAAACGGGAATATCTTCACATAAAAACTAAACAGAAGCATTCTCAGAAACTTCTTGGTGATGTTTGCATTCAAATCCCAGAGTTGAACCTTCCTTTGATAGTTCAGGTTTGAAACACTCTTTTTGTAGGATCTGCAAGTGGCTATTTGGACCACTCTGTGGCCTTCGTTCGAAACGGGTATATCTTCGCATAAAATCTAGACAGAAGCATTCTCAGAAAATACTTTGTGATGATTGAGTTGAACTCACAGAGCTGAACATTCCTTTGGATGGAGCAGGTTTGAGACACACTTTTTGTAGAATCTACAAGTGGATATTTGGACCTCTCTGAGGATTTCGTTGGAAACGGGATAACTGCACCTAACTAAACGGAAGCATTCTCAGAAACTGCTTTGTGATGATTGCATTCACCTCACAGAGTTGAACATTCCTATTGATAGAGCAGTTTGGAAACACTCTTGTTGTGGAATGTGCAAGTGGAGATTTGGAGCGCTTTGAGGCCTATGGTAGTAAAGGGAATAGCTTCATAGAAAAACTAGACAGATGCATTCTCAGGAACTTTTTGGTGATGATTGTATTCAACTCCCAGAGTTGAACTTTCCTTTGGAAAGAGCAGCTATGAAACACTCTTTTTCTAGAATCTGCAAGTGGACGTTTGGAGGGCTTTGTGGTTTGTGGTGGAAAAGGAAATATCTTCACCTAAATACTAGAGAGAAGCATTCTCAGAAGCTTCTCTGTGATGACTGCATTCAACTCACGGAGTTGAACACTCCTTTTGAGAGCGCAGTTTTGAAACTCTCTTTCTGTGGCATCCGCAATGGGACATGTAGACCTCTTTGAAGATTTCGTTGGAAACGGAATCATCTTCACATAAAAACTATACAGAAGCAGTCTCAGAATCTTCTTTGTGATGTTTGCATTCAAATCCCAGAGTTGAACTTTCCTTTCCAAGTTCACGTTTGAAACAGTCTTTTTGCAGGATCTACAAGTGGATATTTGGACCACTCTGTGTCCTTCGTTCGAAACGGGTATATCTTCACATGACATCTAGACAGAAGCTTTCTCAGAAAATTCTTTGGAATGATTGAGTGGAACTCACAGAGCTGAACATTCCTTGCGATGTAGCAGTTTAGAAACACACTTTCTGCAGAATCTGCAAGTGCATATTTGGACCTCTCTGAGGAATTCGTTGGAAACGGGATAATTTCAGCTGACTAAACAGAAGCATTCTCAGAACCTTCTTCGTGATGTCTGCATTCAACTCACAGTGTGGAACCTTTCTTTGATAGTTCAGGTTTGAAACACTCTTTTTGTAGAAACTGCAAGGGGATAATTGCACTTCTTTGAGGCCTACCGTAGTAAAGGAAATAACTTCCTATAGAAAGAAGACAGAAGCATTCTCAGAACCCTCTTCGTGATGTTTGCATTCAACTCACAGTGCTGAACCTTTCTTTGATAGTTCAGCTTTGAAACACTCTTCTTGTAGAAACTGCAAGTGGATATTTGGACCTCTCTGAGGATTTCGTTGGAAACGGGATAAACCGCACAGAACTAAACAGAAGCATTCTCAGAACCTTCTTCGTGATGTTTGCATTCAACTCACAAGTGTTGAACCTTTCTTTGATAGTTCAGGTTTGAAACGGTCTTTCTGTAGAAACTGCAAGTAGATATTTGGACCTCTCTGAGGATTTCGTTGGAAACGGGATAACCCGCACAGAACTAAAACAGAAGCATTCACAGAAAACTCTTGGTGACGACTGAGTTTAACTCACAGAGCTGAACATTCCTTTGGATGGAGCAGTTTCGAAACACACTATTTGTAGAATGTGCAAGTGGATATTTAGGCCTCTCTGAGGATTTCGTTGGAAACGGGATAAACCGCACAGAACTAAACAGAAGCATTCTCAGAAACTACTTTGTGATGATTGCATTCAAGTCACAGAGTTGAACATTCCCTTTGACAGAGCAGTTTGGAAACTCTCTTTGTGTAGAATCTGCAAGTGGAGATATGGACCGCTTTGAGGCCTATGGTAGTAAAGGAAATAGCTTCATATAAAAGCTAGACAGTAGCATTCTCAGAAACTTCTTTGTGATGCTTGCATTCAACTCACAGAGTTGAACTTTCCTTTCGAGAGAGAAGCTTTGAAACACTCTTTTTCCAGAATGTGCAAGTGGAGATTTGGAGGGCTTTGAGGCCTGTGGTGGAAAAGGAATTATCTTCCTGTAAAAGCTAGATGGAAGTATTGTCAGAAACTTCTTTGTGATGATTGCATTCAACTCACAGAGTTGAAGGTTCCTTTTCAAACAGCAGTTTCCAATCACTCTTTCTGTGGAATCTGCAAGTGGATATTTGGACCTATTTTGAAGATTTCGTTGGAAACGGGATAATCTTCACAGAAAAGCTAAACAGAAGCATTCTCAGAAACTTCTCTGTGATGTTTGTGTTCAACTCCCAGAGTTTCACATTGCTTTTCATAGAGTAGTTCTGAAACATGCTTTTCGTAGTGTCTGCAAGTGGACATTTGGAGCGCTTTCAGGCCTGTGGTGGAAAACGAATTATGGTCACATAAAAACTGGAGAGAAGCCTTCTCAGAAACTTCTCTGTGATGATTGCATTCAACTCACAGAGTTGAACCCTCCTATGGATAGAGCATTGTTGAAACTCTCTTTTTGTGGAATCTGCAAGTGGATATGTGGACCTCTCCGAAGATGTCTTTGGAAACGGGAATATCTTCACATAAAAACTAAACAGAAGCATTCTCAGAAACTTCTTGGTGATGTTTGCATTCAAATCCCAGAGTTGAACCTTCCTTTGATAGTTCAGATTTGAAACACTCTTTTTGTAGGATCTGCAAGTGGATATTTGGACCACTCTGTGGCCTTCGTTCGAAACGGGTACATCTTCGCATAAAATCTAGACAGAAGCATTCTCAGAAAATACTTTGTGATGATTGAGTTGAACTCACAGAGCTGAACATTCCTTTGGATGGAGCAGGTTTGAGACACACTTTTTGTAGAATCTACAAGTGGATATTTGGACCTCTCTGAGGATTTCGTTGGAAACGGGATAACTGCACCTAACTAAACGGAAGCATTCTCAGAAACTGCTTTGTGATGATTGCATTCACCTCACAGAGTTGAACATTCCTATTGATAGAGCAGTTTGGAAACACTCTTGTTGTGGAATGTGCAAGTGGAGATTTGGAGCGCTTTGAGGTCTATGGTAGTAAAGGGAATAGCTTCATAGAAAAACTAGACAGATGCATTCTCAGGAACTTTTTTGGTGATGTTTGTATTCAACTCCCAGAGTTGAACTTTCCTTTGGAAAGAGCAGCTATGAAACACTCTTTTTCTAGGATCTGCAAGTGGACGTTTGGAGGGCTTTGTGGTTTGTGGTGGAAAAGGAAATATCTTCACCTAAATACTAGAGAGAAGCATTCTCAGAAGCTTCTCTGTGATGACTGCATTCAACTCACGGAGTTGAACACTCCTTTTGAGAGCGCAGTTTTGAAACTCTCTTTCTGTGGCATCCGCAAGGGGACATGTAGACCTCTTTGAAGATTTCGTTGGAAACGGAATCATCTTCACATAAAAACTATACAGAAGCAGTCTCAGAATCTTCTTTGTGATGTTTGCATTCAAATCCCAGAGTTGAACTTTCCTTTCCAAGTTCACGTTTGAAACACTCTTTTTGCAGGATCTACAAGTGGATATTTGGACCACTCTGTGTCCTTCGTTTGAAACGGGTATATCTTCACATGACATCTAGACAGAAGCTTTCTCAGAAAATTCTTTGGGATGATTGAGTGGAACTCACAGAGCTGAACATTCCTTGCGATGTAGCAGTTTAGAAACACACTTTCTGCAGAATCTGCAAGTGCATATTTGGACCTCTCTGAGGAATTCGTTGGAAACGGGATAATTTCAGCTGACTAAACAGAAGCATTCTCAGAACCTTCTTCGTGATGTCTGCATTCAACTCACAGTGTGGAACCTTTCTTTGATAGTTCAGGTTTGAAACACTCTTTTTGTAGAAACTGCAAGGGGATAATTGCACTTCTTTGAGGCCTACCGTAGTAAAGGAAATAACTTCCTATAGAAAGAAGACAGAAGCATTCTCAGAACCCTCTTCGTGATGTTTGCATTCAACTCACAGTGCTGAACCTTTCTTTGATAGTTCAGCTTTGAAACACTCTTCTTGTAGAAACTGCAAGTGGATATTTGGACCTCTCTGAGGATTTCGTTGGAAACGGGATAAACCGCACAGAACTAAACAGAAGCATTCTCAGAACCTTCTTCGTGATGTCTGCATTCAACTCACAGTGCTGAACCTTTCTTTGACAGTTCAGCTTTGAAACACTCTTTTTGTAGAAACTGCAAGTGGATATTTGGTCCTCTCTGAGGATTTCGTTGGAAACGGCATAAACCGCACAGAACTAAACAGAAGCATTCACAGAAAACACTTGGTGACGACTGAGTTTAACTCACAGAGCTGAACATTCCTTTGGATGGGGCAATTTCGAAACACACTATTTGTAGAATCTGCAAGTGGATATTTGGGCCTCTCTGAGGATTTCGTTGGAAACGGGATAAACCGCACAGAACTAAACAGAAGCATTCTCAGAAACTACTTTGTGATGATTGCATTCAAGTCACAGAGTTGAACATTCCCTTTGACAGAGCAGTTTGGAAACTCTCTTTGTGTAGAATCTGCAAGTGGAGATATGGAATGCTTTGAGGACTATGGTAGTAAAGGAAATAGCTTCATATAAAAGCTAGACAGTAGCATTCTCAGAAACTTCTTTGTGATGCTTGCATTCAACTCACAGAGTTGAACTTTCCTTTCGAGAGAGAAGCTTTGAAACACTCTTTTTCCAGAATCTGCAAGTGGACATTTGGAGGGCTTTGAGGCCTGTGGTGGAAAAGGAATTATCTTCCCGTAAAAGCTAGATAGAAGCATTGTCAGAAACTTCTTTGTGATGATTGCATTCAACTCACAGAGTTGAAGGTTCCTTTTCAAACAGCAGTTTCCAATCACTCTTTCTGTGGAATCTGCAAGTGGATATTTGGGCCTCTCTGAGGATTTCGTTGGAAACGGGATAAAACGCACAGAACTAAAACAGAAGCATTCTCAGAAACTTCTCTGTGATGTTTGTGTTCAACTCCCAGAGTTTCACATTGCTTTTCATAGAGTAGTTCTGAAACATGCTTTTCGTAGTGTCTGCAAGTGGACATTTGGAGCGCTTTCAGGCCTGTGGTGGAAAACGAATTATGGTCACATAAAAACTGGAGAGAAGCCTTCTCAGAAACTTCTCTGTGATGATTGCATTCAACTCACAGAGTTGAACCCTCCTATGGATAGAGCAGTGTTGAAACTCTCTTTTTGTGGAATCTGCAAGTGGATATGTGGACCTCTCCGAAGATGTCTTTGGAAACGGGAATATCTTCACATAAAAACTAAACAGAAGCATTCTCAGAAACTTCTTGGTGATGTTTGCATTCAAATCCCAGAGTTGAACCTTCTTTGATAGTTCAGGTTTGAAACACTCTTTTTGTAGGATCTGCAAGTGGATATTTGGACCACTCTGTGGCCTTCGTTCGAAACGGGTATATCTTCGCATAAAATCTAGACAGAAGCATTCTCAGAAAATACTTTGTGATGATTGAGTTTAAATCACAGAGCTGAACATTCCTTTGGATGGAGCAGGTTTGAGACACACTTTTTGTAGAATCTACAAGTGGATATTTGGACCTCTCTGAGGATTTCGTTGGAAACGGGATAACTGCACCTAACTAAACGGAAGCATTCTCAGAAACTGCTTTGTGATGATTGCACTCACCTCACAGAGTTGAACATTCCTATTGATAGAGCAGTTTGGAAACACTCTTGTTGTGGAATGTGCAAGTGGAGATTTGGAGCGCTTTGAGGCCTATGGTAGTAAAGGGAATAGCTTCATAGAAAAACTAGACAGATGCATTCTCAGGAACTTTTTGGTGATGTTTGTATTCAACTCCCAGAGTTGAACTTTCCTTTGGAAAGAGCAGCTATGAAACACTCTTTTTCTAGAATCTGCAAGTGGACGTTTGGAGGGCTTTGTGGTTTGTGGTGGAAAAGGAAATATCTTCACCTAAATACTAGATAGAAGCATTCTCAGAAGCTTCTCTGTGATGACTGCATTCAACTCACGGAGTTGAACACTCCTTTTGAGAGCGCAGTTTTGAAACTCTCTTTCTGTGGCATCTGCAAGGGGACATGCAGACCTCTTTGAAGATTTCGTTGGAAACGGAATCATCTTCACATAAAAACTATACAGAAGCAGTCTCAGAATCTTCTTTGTGATGTTTGCATTCAAATCCCAGAGTTGAACTTTCCTTTCAAAGTTCACGTTTGAAACACTCTTTTTGCAGGATCTACAAGTGGATATTTGGACCACTCTGTGTCCTACGTTCGAAACGGGTATATCTTCACATGACATCTAGACAGAAGCTTTCTCAGAAAATTCTTTGGGATGATTCAGTTCAGCAAACAGAGCTGAACACTCCTTGCGATGTAGCAGTTTAGAAACACACGTTCTGCAGAATCTGCAAGTGCATATGTGGACCTCTCTGAGGAATTCGTTGGAAACGGGATAATTTCAGCTGACTAAACAGAAGCATTCTCAGAACCTTCTTCGTGATGTCTGCATTCAACTCACAGTGTGGAACCTTTCTTTGATAGTTCAGGTTTGAAACACTCTTTTTGTAGAAACTGCAAGGGGATAATTGCACTTCTTTGAGGCCTACCGTAGTAAAGGAAATAACTTCCTATAGAAAGAAGACAGAAGCATTCTCAGAACCCTCTTCGTGATGTTTGCATTCAACTCACAGTGCTGAACCTTTCTTTGATAGTTCAGCTTTGAAACACTCTTCTTGTAGAAACTGCAAGTGGATATTTGGTCCTCTCTGAGGATTTCGTTGCGAAAGGGGATAAACCGCACAGAACTAAACAGAAGCATTCTCAGAACCTTCTTCGTGATGTTTGCATTCAACTCACAGTGTTGAACCTTTCTTTGATAGTTCAGGTTTGAAACGGTCTTTCTGTAGAAACTGCAAGTAGATATTTGGACCTCTCTGAGGATTTCGTTGGAAACGGGATAAACCGCACAGAACTAAAACAGAAGCATTCACAGAAAACTCTTGGTGACGACTGAGCTTAACTCACAGAGCTGAACATTCCTTTGGATGGAGCAGTTTCGAAACACACTATTTGTAGAATGTGCAAGTGGATATTGGGGCCTCTCTGAGGATTTCGTTGGAAACGGGATAAACCGCACAGAACTAAACAGAAGCATTCTCAGAAAATACTTTGTGATGATTGCATTCAAGTCACAGAGTTGAACATTCCCTTTGACAGAGCAGTTTGGAAACTCTCTTTGCGTAGAATCTGCAAGTGGAGATATGGACCGCTTTGAGGCCTATGGTAGTAAAGGAAATAGCTTCATATAAAAGCTAGACAGCAGCATTCTCAGAAACTTCTTTGTGATGCTTGCATTCAACTCACAGAGTTGAACTTTCCTTTCGAGAGAGAAGCTTTGAAACACTCTTTTTCCAGAATCTGCAAGTGGATATTTGGAGGGCTTTGAGGCCTGTGGTGGAAAAGGAATTATCTTCCCGTAAAAGCTAGATAGAAGCATTGTCAGAAACTTCTTTGTGATGATTGCATTCAAGTCACAGAGTTGAAGGTTCCTTTTCAAAGAGCAGTTTCCAATCACTCTTTCTGTGGAATCTGCAAGTGGATATTTGGACCTCTTTGAAGATTTCGTTGGAAACGGGAGAATCTTCACAGAAAAGCTAAACAGAAGCATTCTCAGAAACTTCTCTGTGATGTTTGTGTTCAACTCCCAGAGTTTCACATTGCTTCTCATAGAGTAGTTCTGAAACATGCTTTTCGTAGTGTCTGCAAGTGGACATTTGGAGCGCTTTCAGGCCTGTGGTGGAAAACGAATTATGGTCACATAAAAACTGGAGAGAAGCCTTCTCAGAAACTTCTCTGTGATGATTGCATTCAACTCACAGAGTTGAACCCTCCTATGGATAGAGCAGTGTTGAAACTCTCTTTTTGTGGAATCTGCAAGTGGATATGTGGACCTCTCCGAAGATGTCTTTGGAAACGGGAATATCTTCACACAAAAACTAAACAGAAGCATTCTCAGAAACTTCTTGGTGATGTTTGCATTCAAATCCCAGAGTTGAACCTTCCTTTGAGAGTTCAGGTTTGAAACACTCTTTTTGTAGGATCTGCAAGTGGATATTTGGACCACTCTGTGGCCTTCGTTCGAAACGGGTACATCTTCGCATAAAATCTAGACAGAAGCATTCTCAGAAAATACTTTGTGATGATTGAGTTGAACTCACAGAGCTGAACATTCCTTTGGATGGAGCAGGTTTGAGACACACTTTTTGTAGAATCTACAAGTGGATATTTGGACCTCTCTGAGGATTTCGTTGGAAACGGGATAACTGCACCTAACTAAACGGAAGCATTCTCAGAAACTGCTTTGTGATGATTGCATTCACCTCACAGAGTTGAACATTCCTATTGATAGAGCAGTTTGGAAACACTCTTGTTGTGGAATGTGCAAGTGGAGATTTGGAGCGCTTTGAGGCCTATGGTAGTAAAGGGAATAGCTTCATAGAAAAACTAGACAGATGCATTCTCAGGAACCTTTTGGTGATGTTTGTATTCAACTCCCAGAAGTTGAACTTTCCTTTGGAAAGAGCAGCTATGAAACACTCTTTTTCTAGAATCTGCAAGTGGACGTTTGGAGGGCTTTGTGGTTTGTGGTGGAAAAGGAAATATCTTCACCTAAATACTAGATAGAAGCATTCTCAGAAGCTTCTCTGTGATGACTGCATTCAACTCACGGAGTTGAACACTCCTTTTGAGAGCGCAGTTTTGAAACTCTCTTTCTGTGGCATCTGCAAGGGGACATGTAGACCTCTTTGAAGATTTCGTTGGAAACGGAATCATCTTCACATAAAAACTATACAGAAGCAGTCTCAGAATCTTCTTTGTGATGTTTGCATTCAAATCCCAGAGTTGAACTTTCCTTTCAAAGTTCACGTTTGAAACACTCTTTTTGCAGGATCTACAAGTGGATATTTGGACCACTCTTTGTCCTACGTTCGAAACGGGTATATCTTCACATGACATCTAGACAGAAGCTTTCTCAGAAAATTCTTTGGGTTGATTGAGTTGAACTCACAGAGCTGAACATTCCTTGCGATGTAGCAGTTTAGAAACACACTTTCTGCAGAATCTGCAAGTGCATATTTGGACCTCTCTGAGGAATTCGTTGGAAACGGGATAATTTCAGCTGACTAAACAGAAGCATTCTCAGAACCTTCTTCGTGATGTCTGCATTCAACTCACAGTGTGGAACCTTTCTTTGATAGTTCAGGTTTGAAACACTCTTTTTGTAGAAACTGCAAGGGGATAATTGCACTCTTTGAGGAGTACCGTAGTAAAGGAAATAACTTCCTATAAAAAGAAGACAGAAGCATTCTCAGAACCCTCTTCGTGATGTTTGCATTCAACTCACAGTGCTGAACCTTTCTTTGATAGTTCAGCTTTGAAACACTCTTTTTGTAGAAACTGCAAATGGATATTTGGTCCTCTCTGAGGATTTCGTTGGAAAAGGGATAAAACGCCCAGAACTAAACAGAAGCATTCACAGAAAACTCTTGGTGACGACTGAGTTTAACTCACAGAGCTGAACATTCCTTTGGATGGAGCAGTTTCAAAACACACTATTTGTAGAATCTGCAAGTGGATATATGGGCCTCTCTGAGGATTTCGTTGGAAACGGGATAAACCGCACAGAACTAAAACAGAAGCATTCTCAGAAACTACTTTGTGATGATTGCATTCAAGTCACAGAGTTGAACATTCCCTTTGACAGAGCAGTTTGGAAACTCTCTTTGTGTAGAATCTGCAAGTGGAGATATGGACCGCTTTGAGGCCTATGGTAGTAAAGGAAATAGCTTCATATAAAAGCTAGACAGTAGCATTCTCAGAAACTTCTTTGTGATGCTTGCATTCAACTCACAGAGTTGAACTTTCCTTTCGAGAGAGAAGCTTTGAAACACTCTTTTTCCAGAATCTGCAAGTGGACATTTGGAGGGCTTTGAGGCCTGTGGTGGAAAAGGAATTAACTTCCCGTAAAAGCTAGATAGAAGCATTGTCAGAAACTTCTTTGTGATGATTGCATTCAACTCACGGAGATGAAGGTTCCTTTACAAACAGCAGTTTCCAAACACTCTTTCTGTGGAATCTGCAAGTGGATATTTGGACCTCTTTGAAGATTTCGTTGGAAACGGGAGAATCTTCACAGAAAAGCTAAACAGAAGCATTCTCAGAAACTTCTCTGTGATGTTTGTGTTCAACTCCCAGAGTTTCACATTGCTTTTCATAGAGTAGTTCTGAAACATGCTTTTCGTAGTGTCTACAAGTGGACATTTGGAGCGCTTTCAGGCCTGTGGTGGAAAACGAATTATGGTCACATAAAAACTGGAGAGAAGCCTTCTCAGAAACTTCTCTGTGATGATTGCATTCAACTCACAGAGTTGAACCCTCCCTATGGATAGAGCAGTGTTGAAACTCTCTTTTTGTGGAATCTGCAAGTGGATATGTGGACCTCTCCGAAGATGTCTTTGGAAACGGGAATATCTTCACATAAAAACTAAACAGAAGCATTCTCAGAAACTTCTTGGTGATGTTTGCATTCAAATCCCAGAGTTGAACCTTCCTTTGATAGTTCAGGTTTGAAACACTCTTTTTGTAGGATCTGCAAGTGGATATTTGGACCACTCTGTGGCCTTCGTTCGAAACGGGTACATCTTCGCATAAAATCTAGACAGAAGCATTCTCAGAAAATACTTTGTGATGATTGAGTTCAACTCACAGAGCTGAACATTCCTTTGGATGGAGCAGGTTTGAGACACACTTTTTGTAGAATCTACAAGTGGATATTTGGACCTCTCTGAGGATTTCGTTGGAAACGGGATAACTGCACCTAACTAAACGGAAGCATTCTCAGAAACTGCTTTGTGATGATTGCATTCACCTCACAGAGTTGAACATTCCTATTGATAGAGCAGTTTGGAAACACTCCTGTTGTGGAATGTGCAAGTGGAGATTTGGAGCGCTTTGAGGCCTATTTTAGAAAAGGGAATAACTTCATAGAAAAACTAGACAGATGCATTCTCAGGAACTTTTTGGTGATATTTGTATTCAACTCCCAGAGTTGAACTTTCCTTTGGAAAGAGCAGCTATGAAACACTCTTTTTCTAGAATCTGCAAGTGGACGTTTGGAGGGCTTTGTGGTTTGTGGTGGAAAAGGAAATATCTTCACCTAAATACTAGATAGAAGCATTCTCAGAAGCTTCTCTGTGATGACTGCATTCAACTCACGGAGTTGAACACTCCTTTTGAGAGCGCAGTTTTGAAACTTTCTTTCTGTGGCATCTGCAAGGGGACATGTAGACCTCTTTGAAGATTTCGTTGGAAACGGAATCATCTTCACATAAAAACTATACAGAAGCAGTCTCAGAATCTTCTTTGTGATGTTTGCATTCAAATCCCAGAGTTGAACTTTCCTTTCAAAGTTCACGTTTGAAACACTCTTTTTGCAGGATCTACAAGTGGATATTTGGACCACTCTGTGTCCTTCGTTCGAAACGGGTATATCTTCACATGACATCTAGACAGAAGCTTTCTCAGAAAATTCTTTGGGATGATTGAGTTGAACTCACAGAGCTGAACATTCCTTGCGATGGAGCAGTTTAGAAACACACTTTCTGCAGAATCTGCAAGTGCATATTTGGACCTCTCTGAGGAATTCGTTGGAAACGGGATAATTTCAGCTGACTAAACAGAAGCATTCTCAGAACCTTCTTCGTGATGTCTGCATTCAACTCACAGTGTGGAACCTTTCTTTGATAGTTCCGGTTTGAAACACTCTTTTTGTAGAGACTTCAAGGGGATAATTGCACTTCTTTGAGGCCTACGGTAGTAAAGGAAATAACTTCCTATAAAAAGAAGACAGAAGCATTCTCAGAACCTTCTTCGTGATATTTGCATTCAACTCACAGTGCTGAACCTTTCTTTGATAGTTCAGCTTTGAAACACTCTTTTTGTAGAAACTGCAAGTGGATACTTGGTCCTCTCTGAGGATTTCGTTGGAAAAGGGATACACCGCACAGAACTAAACAGAAGCATTCACAGAAAACACTTGGTGACGACTGAGTTTAACTCACAGAGCTGAACATTCCTTTGTAGGGAGCAGTTTTGAAACACACTATTTGTAGAATCTGCAAGTGGATATTTGGGCCTCTCTGAGGATTTCGATGGAAACGGGATAAACCGCACAGAACTAAAACAGAAGCATTCTCAGAAACTACTTCGTGATGATTGCATTCAAGTCACAGAGCAGAACATTCCCTCTGACAGAGCAGTTTGGAAACTCTCTTTGTGTAGCATCTGCAAGTGGAGATATGGAATGCTTTGAGGACTATGGTAGTAAAGGAAATAGCTTCATATAAAAGCTAGACAGTAGCATTCTCAGAAACTTCTTTGTGATGCTTGCATTCAACTCACAGAGTTGAACTTTCCTTTCGAGAGAGAAGCTTCGAAACACTCTTTTTCCAGAATCTGCAAGTGGACATTTGGAGGGCTTTGAGGCCTGTGGTGGAAAAGGAATTATCTTCCCGTAAAAGCTAGATAGAAGCATTGTCAGAAACTTCTTTGTGATGATTGCATTCAACTCACAGAGATGAAGGTTCCTTTACAAACAGCAGTTTCCAAACACTCTTTCTGTGGAATCTGCAAGTGGATATTTGGACCTCTTTGAAGATTTCGTTGGAAACGGGAGAATCTTCACAGAAAAGCTAAACAGAAGCATTCTCAGAAACTTCTCTGTGATGTTTGTGTTCAACTCCCAGAGTTTCACATTGCTTCTCATAGAGTAGTTCTGAAACATGCTTTTCGTAGTGTCTGCAAGTGGACATTTGGAGCGCTTTCAGGCCTGTGGTGGAAAACGAATTATGGTCCCATAAAAACTGGAGAGAAGCCTTCTCAGAAACTTCTCTGTGATGATTGCATTCAACTCACAGAGTTGAACCCTCCTATGGATAGAGCAGTGTTGAAACTCTCTTTTTGTGGAATCTGCAAGTGGATATGTGGACCTCTCCGAAGATGTCTTTGGAAACGGGAATATCTTCACATAAAAACTAAACAGAAGCATTCTCAGAAACTTCTTGGTGATGTTTGCATTCAAATCCCAGAGTCGAACCTTCCTTTGATAGTTCAGGTTTGAAACACTCTTTTTGTAGGATCTGCAAGTGGATATTTGGACCACTCTGTGGCCTTCGTTCGAAACGGGTATATCTTCGCATAAAATCTAGACAGAAGCATTCTCAGAAAATACTTTGTGATGATTGAGTTTAACTCACAGAGCTGAACATTCCTTTGGATGGAGCAGGTTTGAGACACACTTTTTGTAGAATCTACAAGTGGATATTTGGACCTCTCTGAGGATTTCGTTGGAAACGGGATAACTGCACCTATCTAAACGGAAGCATTCTCAGAAACTGCTTTGTGATGATTGCATTCACCTCACAGAGTTGAACATTCCTATTGATAGAGCAGTTTGGAAACACTCTTGTTGTGGAATGTGCAAGTGGAGATTTGGAGCGCTTTGAGGCCTATGGTAGTAAAGGGAATAGCTTCATAGAAAAACTAGACAGGATGCATTCTCAGGAACTTTTTGGTGATGTTTGTATTCAACTCCCAGAGTTGAACTTTCCTTTGGAAAGAGCAGCTATGAAACACTCTTTTTCTAGAATCTGCAAGTGGACGTTTGGAGGGCTTTGTGGTTTGTGGTGGAAAAGGAAATATCTTCACCTAAATACTAGATAGAAGCATTCTCAGACGCTTCTCTGTGATGACTGCATTCAACTCACGGAGTTGAACACTCCTTTTGAGAGCGCAGTTTTGAAACTCTCTTTCTGTGGCATCTGCAAGGGGACATGTAGACCTCTTTGAAGATTTCGTTGGAAACGGAATCATCTTCACATAAAAACTATACAGAAGCAGTCTCAGAATCTTCTTTGTGATGTTTGCATTCAAATCCCCGAGTTGAACTTTCCTTTCAAAGTTCACGTTTGAAACACTCTTTTTGCAGGATCTACAAGTGGATATTTGGACCACTCTGTGTCCTTCGTTCGAAACGGGTATATCTTCACATGACATCTAGACAGAAGCTTTCTCAGAAAATTCTTTGGGATGATTGAGTTGAGCAAACAGTAGCTGAACACTCCTTGCGATGTAGCAGTTTAGAAACACCCTTTCTGCAGAATCTGCAAGTGCATATGTGGACCTCTCTGAGGAATTCGTTGGAAACGGGATAATTTCAGCTGACTAAACAGAAGCATTCTCAGAACCTTCTTCGTGATGTCTGCATTCAACTCACAGTGTGGAACCTTTCTTTGATAGTTCAGGTTTGAAACACTCTTTTTGTAGAAACTGCAAGGGGATAATTGCACTTCTTTGAGGCCTACCGTAGTAAAGGAAATAACTTCCTATAGAAAGAAGACAGAAGCATTCTCAGAACCCTCTTCGTGATGTTTGCATTCAACTCACAGTGCTGAACCTTTCTTTGATAGTTCAGCTTTGAAACACTCTTCTTGTAGAAACTGCAAGTGGATATTTGGTCCTCTCTGAGGATTTCGTTGGAAACGGGATAAACCGCACAGAACTAAACAGAAGCATTCTCAGAACCTTCTTCGTGATGTTTGCATTCAACTCACAGTGTTGAACCTTTCTTTGATAGTTCAGGTTTGAAACGGTCTTTCTGTAGAAACTGCAAGTAGATATTTGGACCTCTTTGAGGATTTCGTTGGAAACGGGATAAACCGCACAGAACTAAAACAGAAGCATTCACAGAAAACTCTTGGTGACGACTGAGTTTAACTCACAGAGCTGAACATTCCTTTGGATGGAGCAGTTTCGAAATACACTATTTGTAGAATCTGCAAGTGGATATTTGGGCCTCTCTGAGGATTTCGTTGGAAACGGGATAAACCGCACAGAACTAAACAGAAGCATTCTCAGAAACTAATTTGTGATGATTGCATTCAAGTCACAGAGTTGAACATTCCCTTTGACAGAGCAGTTTGGAAACTCTCTTTGTGTAGAATCTGCAAGTGGAGATATGGACCGCTTTGAGGCCTATGGTAGTAAAGGAAAGAGCTTCATATAAAAGCTAGACAGTAGCATTCTCAGAAACTTCTTTGTGATGCTTGCATTCAACTCACAGAGTTGAACTTTCCTTTCGAGAGAGAAGCTTTGAAACACTCTTTTTCCAGAATGTGCAAGTGGACATTTGGAGGGCTTTGAGGCCTGTGGTGGAAAAGGAATTATCTTCCCGTAAAAGCTAGATAGAAGCATTGTCAGAAACTTCTTTGTGATGATTGCATTCAACTCACAGAGTTGAAGGTTCCTTTTCAAACAGCAGTTTCCAATCACTCTTTCTGTGGAATCTGCAAGTGGATATTTCGACCTCTTTGAAGATTTCGTTGGAAACGGGAGAATCTTCACAGAAAAGCTAAACAGAAGCATTCTCAGAAACTTCTCTGTGATGTTTGTGTTCAACTCCCAGAGTTTCACATTGCTTCTCATAGAGTTGTTCTGAAACATGCTTTTCGTAGTGTCTGCAAGTGGACATTTGGAGCGCTTTCAGGCCTGTGGTGGAAAACGAATTATGGTCACATAAAAACTGGAGAGAAGCCTTCTCAGAAACTTCTCTGTGATGATTGCATTCAACTCACAGAGTTGAACCCTCCTATGGATAGAGCAGTGTTGAAACTCTCTTTTTGTGGAATCTGCAAGTGGATATGTGGACCTCTCCGAAGATGTCTTTGGAAACGGGAATATCTTCACATAAAAACTAAACAGAAGCATTCTCAGAAACTTCTTGGTGATGTTTGCATTCAAATCCCAGAGTTGAACCTTCCTTTGATAGTTCAGCTTTGAAACACTCTTTTTGTAGGATCTGCAAGTGGCTATTTGGACCACTCTGTGGCCTTCATTCGAAACGGGTATATCTTTGCATAAAATCTAGACAGAAGCATTCTCAGAAAATACTTTGTGATGATTGAGTTTAAATCACAGAGCTGAACATTCCTTTGGATGGAGCAGGTTTGAGACACACTTTTTGTAGAATCTACAAGTGGATATTTGGACCTCTCTGAGGATTTCGTTGGAAACGGGATAACTGCACCTAACTAAACGGAAGCATTCTCAGAAACTGCTTTGTGATGATTGCATTCACCTCACAGAGTTGTACATTCCTATTGATAGAGCAGTTTGGAAACACTCTTGTTGTGGAATGTGCAAGTGGAGATTTGGAGTGCTTTGAGGCCTATGGTAGTAAAGGGAATAGCTTCATAGAAAAACTAGACAGATGCATTCTCAGGAACTTTTTGGTGATGTTTGTATTCAACTCCCAGAGTTGAACTTTCCTTTGGAAAGAGCAGCTATGAAACACTCTTTTTCTAGAATCTGCAAGTGGACGTTTGGAGGGCTTTGTGGTTTGTGGTGGAAAAGGAAATATCTTCACCTAAATACTAGATAGAAGCATTCTCAGAAGCTTCTCTGTGATGACTGCATTGAACTCACGGAGTTGAACACTCCTTTTGAGAGCGCAGTTTTGAAACTCTCTTTCTGTGGCATCTGCAAGGGGACATGTAGACCTCTTTGAAGATTTCGTTGGAAACGGAATCATCTTCACATCAAAACTATACAGAAGCAGTCTCAGAATCTTCTTTGTGATGTTTGCATTCAAATCCCAGAGTTGAACTTTCCTTTCAAAGTTCACGTTTGAAACACTCTTTTTGCAGGATCTACAAGTGGATATTTGGACCACTCTGTGTCCTTCGTTCGAAACGGGTATATCTTCACACGACATCTAGACAGAAGCTTTCTCAGAAAATTCTTTGGGATGATTGAGTGGAACTCACAGAGCTGAACATTCCTTGCGATGTAGCAGTTTAGAAACACACTTTCTGCAGAATCTGCAAGTGCATATTTGGACCTCTCTGAGGAATTCGTTGGAAACGGGATAATTTCAGCGACTAAACAGAAGCATTCTCAGAACCTTCTTCGTGATGTCTGCATTCAACTCACAGTGTGGAACCTTTCTTTGATAGTTCAGGTTTGAAACACTCTTTTTGTAGAAACTGCAAGGGGATAATTGCACTTCTTTGAGGCCTACCGTAGTAAAGGAAATAACTTCCTATAGAAAGAAGACAGAAGAATTCTCAGAGCCCTCTTCGTGATGTTTGCATTCAACTCACAGTGCTGAACCTTTCTTTGATAGTGCAGCTTTGAAACACTCTTTTTGTAGAAACTGCAAGTGGATGTTTGGTCCTCTCTGAGGATTTCGTTGGAAACGGGATAAACCGCACAGAACTAAAACAGAAGCATTCACAGAAAACTCTTGGTGACGACTGAGTTTAACTCACAGAGCTGAACATTCCTTTGGATGGAGCAGTTTCGAAACACACTATTTGTAGAATCTGCAAGTGGATATTTGGGCCTCTCTGAGGATTTCGTTGGAAACGGGATAAAACGCACAGAACAAAAACAGAAGCATTCTCAGAAACTACTTTGTGGTGATTGCATTCAAGTCACAGAGTTGAACATTCCCTTTGACAGAGCAGTTTGGAAACTCTCTTTGTGTAGAATCTGCAAGTGGAGATATGGACCGCTTTGAGGCCTATGGTAGTAAAGGAAATACCTTCATAGAAAAGCCAGACAGTAGCATTCTCAGAAACTTCTTTGTGATGCTTGCATTCAACTCACAGAGTTGAACTTTCCTTTCGAGAGAGAAGCTTTGAAACACTCTTTTTCCAGAATCTGCAAGTGGACATTTGGAGGGCTTTGAGGCCTGTGGTGGAAAAGGAATTATCTTCCCGTAAAAGCTAGATAGAAGCATTGTCAGAAACTTCTTTGTGATGATTGCATTCAACTCACAGAGTTGAAGGTTCCTTTTCAAACAGCAGTTTCCAATCACTCTTTCTGTGGAATCTGCAAGTGGATATTTGGGCCTCTCTGAGGATTTCGTTGGAAACGGGATAAAACGCACAGAACTAAAACAGAAGCATTCTCAGAAACTTCTCTGTGATGTTTGTGTTCAACTCCCAGAGTTTCACGTTGCTTTTCATAGAGTAGTTCTGAAACATGCTTTTCGTAGTGTCTGCAAGTGGACATTTGGAGCGCTTTCAGGCCTGTGGTGGAAAACGAATTATGGTCACATAAAAATGGAGAGAAAGCCTTCTCAGAAACTTCTCTGTGATGATTGCATTCAACTCACAGAGTTGAACCCTCCTATGGATAGAGCAGTGTTGAAACTCTCTTTTTGTGGAATCTGCAAGTGGATATGTGGACCTCTCCGAAGATGTCTTTGGAAACGGGAATATCTTCACATAAAAGCTAAACAGAAGCATTCTCAGAAACTTCTTGGTGATGTTTGCATTCAAATCCCAGAGTTGAACTTTCCTTTGATAGTTCAGGTTTGAAACACTCTTTTTGTAGGATCTGCAAGTGGATATTTGGACCACTCTGTGGCCTTCGTTCGAAACGGGTACATCTTCGCATAAAATCTAGACAGAAGCATTCTCAGAAAATACTTTGTGATGATTGAGTTTAACTCACAGAGCTGAACATTCCTTTGGATGGAGCAGGTTTGAGACACACTTTTTGTAGAATCTACAAGTGGATATTTGGACCTCTCTGAGGATTTCGTTGGAAACGGGATAACTGCACCGAACTAAACGGAAGCATTCTCAGAAACTGCTTTGTGATGATTGCATTCACCTCACAGAGTTGACCATTCCTATTGATAGAGCAGTTTGGAAACACTCTTGTTGTGGAATGTGCAAGTGGAGATTTGGAGCGCTTTGAGGCCTATGGTAGTAAAGGGAATAGCTTCGTAGAAAAACTAGACAGATGCATTCTCAGGAACTTTTTGGTGATGTTTGTATTCAACTCCCAGAGTTGAACTTTCCTTTGCAAAGAGCAGCTATGAAACACTCTTTTTCTAGAATCTGCAAGTGGACGTTTGGAGGGCTTTGTGGTTTGTGGTGGAAAAGGAAATATCTTCACCTAAATACTAGATAGAAGCATTCTCAGAAGCTTCTCTGTGATGACTGCATTCAACTCACGGAGTTGAACACTCCTTTTGAGAGCGCAGTTTTGAAACTCTCTTTCTCTGGCATCTGCAAGGGGACATGTAGACCTCTTTGAAGATTTCGTTGGAAACGGAATCATCTTCACATAAAAACTATACAGAAGCAGTCTCAGAATCTTCTTTGTGATGTTTGCATTCAAATCCCAGAGTTGAACTTTCCTTTCAAAGTTCACGTTTGAAACACTCTTTTTGCAGGATCTACAAGTGGATATTTGGACCACTCTGTGTCCTTCGTTCGAAACGGGTATATCTTCACACGACATCTAGACAGAAGCTTTCTCAGAAAATTCTTTGGGATGATTGAGTGGAACTCACAGAGCTGAACATTCCTTGCGATGTAGCAGTTTAGAAACACACTTTCTGCAGAATCTGCAAGTGCATATTTGGACCTCTCTGAGGAATTCGTTGGAAACGGGATAATTTCAGCTGACTAAACAGAAGCATTCTCAGAACCTTCTTCGTGATGTCTGCATTCAACTCACAGTGTGGAACCTTTCTTTGATAGTTCAGGTTTGAAACACTCTTTTTGTAGAAACTGCAAGGGGATAACTGCACTTGTTTGAGGCCTATCGTAGTAAAGGAAATAACTTCCTATAAAAAGAAGACAGAAGCATTCTCAGAACCCTCTTCGTGATGTTTGCATTCAACTCACAGTGCTGAACCTTTCTTTGATAGTTCAGCTTTGAAACAATCTTTTTGTAGAAACTGCAAGTGGATATTTGGTCCTCTCTGAGGATTTCGTTGGAAACGGCATAAACCGCACAGAACTAAACAGAAGCATTCTCAGAACCTTCTTCGTGATGTTTGCATTCAACTCACAGTGTTGAACCTTTCTTTGATAGTTCAGGTTTGAAACGGTCTTTCTGTAGAAACTGCAAGTAGATATTTGGACCTCTCTGAGGATTTCGTTGGAAACGGGATAAACCGCACAGAACTAAAACAGAAGCATTCACAGAAAACTCTTGGTGACGACTGAGTTTAACTCACAGAGCTGAACATTCCTTTGGATGGAGCAGTTTCGAAACACACTATTTGTAGAATGTGCAAGTGGATATTTGGGCCTCTCTGAGGATTTCGTTGGAAACGGGATAAACCGCACAGAACTAAAAAGAAGCATTCTGAGAAACTACTTTGTGATGATTGCATTTAAGTCACAGAGCTGAACATTCCCTTTGATAGAGCAGTTTGGAAACTCTCTTTGTGTAGAATCTGCAAGTGGAGATATGGAATGCTTTGAGGACTATGGTAGTAAAGGAAATAGTTTCATATAAAAGCTAGACAGTAGCATTCTCAGAAACTTCTTTGTGATGTTTACATTCAACTCACAGAGTTGAACTTTCCTTTCGAGAGAGAAGCTTTGAAACACTCTTTTTCCAGAATCTGCAAGTGGACATTTGGAGGGCTTTGAGGCCTGTGGTGGAAAAGGAATTATCTTCCCGTAAAAGCTAGATAGAAGCATTGTCAGAAACTTCTTTGTGATGATTGCATTCAACTCACAGAGTTGAAGGTTGCTTTTCAAACAGCAGCTTCCAAACACTCTTTCTGTGGAATCTGCAAGTGGATATTTGGACCTCTTTGAAGATTTCGTTGGAAAAGGGATAATCCTCACAGAAAAGCTAAACAGAAGCATTCTCAGAAAGTTCTCTGTGATGTTTGTGTTCAACTCCCAGAGTGTCACATTGTTTCTCATAGAGTAGTTCTGAAACATGCTTTCCGTAGTGTCTGCAAGGGGACATTTGGAGCACTTTCAGGCCTGTGGTGGAAAACGAATTATGGTCACATAAAAACTGGAGAGAAGCCTTCTCAGAAACCTCTCTGTGATGATTGCATTCAACTCACAGAGTTGAACCCTCCTATGGATAGAGCAGTGTTGAAACTCTCTTTTTGTGGAATCTGCAAGTGGATATGTGGACCTCTCCGAAGATGTCTTTGGAAACGGGAATATCTTCACATAAAAACTAAACAGAAGCATTCTCAGAAACTTCTTGGTGATGTTTGCATTCAAATCCCAGAGTTGAACCTTCCTTTGATAGTTCAGGTTTGAAACACTCTTTTTGTAGGATCTGCAAGTGGATATTTGGACCACTCTGTGGCCTTCGTTCGAAACGGGTACATCTTCGCATAAAATCTAGACAGAAGCATTCTCAGAAAATACTTTGTGATGATTGAGTTTAACTCACAGAGCTGAACATTCCTTTGGATGGAGCAGGTTTGAGACACACTTTTTGTAGAATCTACAAGTGGATATTTGGACCTCTCTGAGGATTTCGTTGGAAACGGGATAACTGCACCTAACTAAACGGAAGCATTCTCAGAAACTGCTTTGTGATGATTGCATTCACCTCACAGAGTTGAACATTCCTATTGATAGAGCAGTTTGGAAACACTCTTGTTGTGGAATGTGCAAGTGGAGATTTGGAGCGCTTTGAGGCCTATGGTAGTAAAGGGAATAGCTTCATAGAAAAACTAGACAGATGCATTCTCAGGAACTTTTTGGTGATGTTTGTATTCAACTCCCAGAGTTGAACTTTCCTTTGGAAAGAGCAGCTATGAAACACTGTTTTTCTAGAATCTGCAAGTGGACGTTTGGAGGGCTTTGTGGTTTGTGGTGGAAAAGGAAATATCTTCACCTAAATACTAGATAGAAGCATCCTCAGAAGCTTCTCTGTGATGACTGCATTCAACTCACGGAGTTGAACACTCCTTTTGAGAGCGCAGTTTTGAAACTCTCTTTCTGTGGCATCTGCAAGGGGACATGTAGACCTCTTTGAAGATTTCGTTGGAAACGGAATCATCTTCACATAAAAACTACACAGAAGCAGTCTCAGAATCTTCTTTGTGATGTTTGCATTCAAATCCCCGAGTTGAACTTTCCTTTCAAAGTTCACGTTTGAAACACTCTTTTTGCAGGATCTACAAGTGGATATTTGGACCACTCTGTGTCCTTCGATCGAAACGGGTATATCTTCACATGACATCTAGACAGAAGCTTTCTCAGAAAATTCTTTGGGATGATTGAGTTGAACTCACAGAGCTGAGCATTCCTTGCGATGTAGCAGTTTAGAAACACACTTTCTGCAGAATCTGCAAGTGCATATTTGGACCTCTGTGAGGAATTCGTTGGAAACGGGATAATTTCAGCTGACTAAACAGAAGCATTCTCAGAACCTTCTTCGTGATGTCTGCATTCAACTCACAGTGTGGAACCTTTCTTTGATAGTTCAGGTTTGAAACACTCTTTTTGTAGAAACTGCAAGGGGATAATTGCACTCTTTGAGGAGTACCGTAGTAAAGGAAATAACTTCCTATAAAAAGAAGACAGAAGCATTCTCAGAACCCTCTTCGTGATGTTTGCATTCAACTCACAGTGCTGAACCTTTCTTTGATAGTTCAGCTTTGAAACACTCTTCTTGTAGAAACTGCAAGTGGATATTTGGTCTTCTCTGAGGATTTCGTTGGAAACGGGATAAACTGCACAGAACTAAACAGAAGCATTCTCAGAACCTTCTTCGTGATGTTTGCATTCAACTCACAGTGTTGAACCTTTCTTTGATAGTTCAGGTTTGAAACGGTCTTTCTGTAGAAACTGCAAGTAGATATTTGGACCTCTCTGAGGATTTCGTTGGAAACGGGATAAACCGCACAGAACTAAACAGAAGCATTCACAGAAAACTCTTGGTGACGACTGAGTTTAACTCACAGAGCTGAACATTCCTTTGGATGGAGCAGTTTCGAAACACACTATTTGTAGAATGTGCAAGTGGATATTTGGGCCTCTCTGAGGATTTCGTTGGAAACGGGATAAACCGCACAGAACTAAACAGAAGCATTCTCAGAAACTACTTTGTGATGATTGCATTCAAGTCACAGAGTTGAACATTCCCTTTGACAGAGCAGTTTGGAAACTCTCTTTGTGTAGAATCTGCAAGTGGAGATATGGACCGCTTTGAGGCCTATGGTAGTAAAGGAAATAGCTTCATATAAAAGCTAGACAGTAGCATTCTCAGAAACTTCTTTGTGATGCTTGCATTCAACTCACAGAGTTGAACTTTCCTTTCGAGAGAGAAGCTTTGAAACACTCTTTTTCCAGAATGTGCAAGTGGAGATTTGCAGGGCTTTGAGGCCTGTGGTGGAAAAGGAATTATCTTCCCGTAAAAGCTAGATAGAAGCATTGTCAGAAACTTCTTTGTGATGATTGCATTCAACTCACAGAGTTGAAGGTTCCTTTTCAAACAGCAGTTTCCAATCACTCTTTCTGTGGAATCTGCAAGTGGATATTTGGACCTATTTTGAAGATTTCGTTGGAAACGGAAGAACATTCACAGAAAAGCTAAACAGAAGCATTCTCAGAAACTTCTCTGTGATGTTTGTGTTCAACTCCCAGAGTTTCACGTTGCTTTTCATAGAGTAGTTCTGAAACATGCTTTTCGTAGTGTCTGCAAGTGGACATTTGGAGCGCTTTCAGGCCTGTGGTGGAAAACGAATTATGGTCACATAAAAACTGGAGAGAAGCCTTCTCAGAAACTTCTCTGTGATGATTGCATTCAACTCACAGAGTTGAACCCTCCTATGGATAGAGCAGTGTTGAAACTCTCTTTTTGTGGAATCTGCAAGTGGATATGTGGACCTCTCCGAAGATGTCTTTGGAAACGGGAATATCTTCACATAAAAACTAAACAGAAGCATTCTCAGAAACTTCTTGGTGATGTTTGCATTGAAATCCCAGAGTTGAACCTTCCTTTGATAGTTCAGGTTTGAAACACTCTTTTTGTAGGATCTGCAAGTGGCTATTTGGACCACTCTGTGGCCTTCGTTCGAAACGGGTATATCTTCGCATAAAATCTAGACAGAAGCATTCTCAGAAAATACTTTGTGATGATTGAGTTGAACTCACAGAGCTGAACATTCCTTTGGATGGAGCAGGTTTGAGACACACTTTTTGTAGAATCTACAAGTGGATATTTGGACCTCTCTGAGGATTTCGTTGGAAACGGGATAACTGCACCTAACTAAACGGAAGCATTCTCAGAAACTGCTTTGTGATGATTGCATTCACCTCACAGAGTTGAACATTCCTATTGATAGAGCAGTTTGGAAACACTCTTGTTGTGGAATGTGCAAGTGGAGATTTGGAGCGCTTTGAGGCCTGTGGTAGTAAAGGGAATAGCTTCATAGAAAAACTAGACAGATGCATTCTCAGGAACATTTTGGTGATGTTTGTATTCAACTCCCAGAGTTGAACTTTCCTTTGGAAAGAGCAGCTATGAGACACTGTTTCTCTAGAATCTGCAAGTGGACGTTTGGAGGGCTTTGTGGTTTGTGGTGGAAAAGGAAATATCTTCACCTAAATACTAGATAGAAGCATTCTCAGAAGCTTCTCTGTGATGACTGCATTCAACTCACGGAGTTGAACACTCCTTTTGAGAGCGCAGTTTTGAAACTCTCTTTCTGTGGCATCTGCAAGGGGACATGTAGACCTCTTTGAAGATTTCGTTGGAAACGGAATCATCTTCACATAAAAACTATACAGAAGCAGTCTCAGAAATCTTCTTTGTGATGTTTGCATTCAAATCCCAGAGTTGAACTTTCCTTTCAAAGTTCACGTTTGAAACACTCTTTTTGCAGGATCTACAAGTGGATATTTGGACCACTCTGTGTCCTTCGTTCGAAACGGGTATATCTTCACACGACATCTAGACAGAAGCTTTCTCAGAAAATTCTTTGGGATGATTGAGTTGAACTCACAGATCTGAACATTCCTTGCGATGTAGCAGTTTAGAAACACACTTTCTGCAGAATCTGCAAGTGCATATGTGGACCTCTCTGAGGAATTCGTTGGAAACGGGATAATTTCAGCTGACTAAACAGAAGCATTCTCAGAACCTTCTTCGTGATGTCTGCATTCAACTCACAGTGTGGAACCTTTCTTTGATAGTTCAGGTTTGAAACACTCTTTTTGTAGAAACTGCAAGGGGATAATTACTCTTCTTTGAGGCCTACCGTAGTAAAGGAAATAACTTCCTATAGAAAGAAGACAGAATCATTCTCAGAACCCTCTTCGTGATGTTTGCATTCAACTCACAGTGCTGAACCTTTCTTTGATAGTTCAGCTTTGAAACACTCTTCTTGTAGAAACTGCAAGTGGATAATTGGTCCTCTCTGAGGATTTCGTTGGAAACGGGATAAACCGCACAGAACTAAACAGAAGAATTCTCAGAGCCCTTTTCGTGATGTTTGCATTCAACTCACAGTGCTGAACCTTTCTTTGATAGTGCAGCTTTGAAACACTCTTTTTGTAGAAACTGCAAGTGGATATTTGGTCCTCTCTGAGGATTTCGTTGGAAACGGGATAAACCGCACAGAACTAAAACAGAAGCATTCACAGAAAACTCTTGGTGACGACTGAGTTTAACTCACAGAGCTGAACATTCCTTTGGATGGAGCAGTTTCGAAACACACTATTTGTAGAATCTGCAAGTGGATATTTGGGCCTCTCTGAGGATTTCGTTGGAAACGGGATAAAACACACAGAACTAAAACAGAAGCATTCTCAGAAACTACTTTGTGATGATTGCATTCAAGTCACAGAGTTGAACATTCCCTTTGACAGAGCAGTTTGGAAACTCTCTTTGTGTAGAATCTGCAAGTGGAGATATGGACCGCTTTGAGGCCTATGGTAGTAAAGGAAATAGCTTCATATAAAAGCTAGACAGTAGCATTCTCAGAAACTTCTTTGTGATGCTTGCATTCAACTCACAGAGTTGAACTTTCCTTTCGAGAGAGAAGCTTTGAAACACTCTTTTTCCAGAATGTGCAAGTGGACATTTTGGGAGCTTTGAGGCCTGTGGTGGAAAAGGAATTATCTTCCCGTAAAAGCTAGATAGAAGCATTGTCAGAAACTTCTTTGTGATGATTGCATTCAACTCACAGAGTTGAAGGTTCCTTTTCAAACAGCAGTTTCCAATCACTCTTTCTGTGGAATCTGCAAGTGGATATTTGGGCCTCTCTGAGGATTTCGTTGGAAACGGGATAAAACGCACAGAACTAAAACAGAAGCATTCTCAGAAACTTCTCTGTGATGTTTGTGTTCAACTCCCAGAGTTTCACATTGCTTTTCATAGAGTAGTTCTGAAACATGCTTTTCGTAGTGTCTACAAGTGGACATTTGGAGCGCTTTCAGGCCTGTGGTGGAAAACGAATTATGGTCACATAAAAACTGGAGAGAAGCCTTCTCAGAAACTTCTCTGTGATGATTGCATTCAACTCACAGAGTTGAACCCTCCTATGGATAGAGCAGTGTTGAAACTCTCTTTTTGTGGAATCTGCAAGTGGATACGTGGACCTCTCCGAAGATGTCTTTGGAAACGGGAATATCTTCACATAAAAACTAAACAGAAGCATTCTCAGTAAACTTCTTGGTGATGTTTGCATTCAAATCCCAGAGTTGAACCTTCCTTTGATAGTTCAGGTTTGAAACACTCTTTTTGTAGGATCTGCAAGTGGATATTTGGACCACTCTGTGGCCTTCGTTCGAAACGGGTATATCTTCGCATAAAATCTAGACAGAAGCATTCTCAGAAAATACTTTGTGATGATTGAGTTTAAATCACAGAGCTGACCATTCCTTTGGATGGAGCAGGTTTGAGACACACTTTTTGTAGAATCTACAAGTGGATATTTGGACCTCTCTGAGGATTTCGTTGGAAACGGGATAACTGCACCTAACTAAACGGAAGCATTCTCAGAAACTGCTTTGTGATGATTGCATTCACCTCACAGAGTTGAACATTCCTATTGATAGAGCAGTTTGGAAACACTCTTGTTGTGGAATGTGCAAGTGGAGATTTGGAAGCGCTTTGAGGCCTGTGGTAGTAAAGGGAATAGCTTCATAGAAAAACTAGACAGATGCATTCTCAGGAACTTTTTGGTGATGTTTGTATTCAACTCCCAGAGTTGAACTTTCCTTTGGAAAGAGCAGCTATGAAACACTCTTTTTCTAGAATCTGCAAGTGGACGTTTGGAGGGCTTTGTGGTTTGTGGTGGAAAAGGAAATATCTTCACCTAAATACTAGATAGAAGCATTCTCAGAAGCTTCTCTGTGATGACTGCATTCAACTCACGGAGTTGAACACTCCTTTTGAGAGCGCAGTTTTGAAACTCTCTTTCTGTGGCATCCGCAAGGGGACATGTGGACCTCTTTGAAGATTTCGTTGGAAACGGAATCATCTTCACATAAAAACTATACAGAAGCAGTCTCAGAATCTTCTTTGTGATGTTTGCATTCAAATCCCAGAGTTGAACTTTCCTTTCAAAGTTCACGTTTGAAACACTCTTTTTGCAGGATCTACAAGTGGATATTTGGACCACTCTGTGTCCTTCGTTCGAAACGGGTATATCTTCACATGACATCTAGACAGAAGCTTTCTCAGAAAATTCTTTGGGATGATTGAGTGGAACTCACAGAGCTGAACATTCCTTGTGATGTAGCAGTTTAGAAACACACTTTCTGCAGAATCTGCAAGTGCATATTTGGACCTCTCTGAGGAGTTCGTTGGAAACGGGATAATTTCAGCTGACTAAACAGAAACATTCTCAGAACCTTCTTCGTGATGTCTGCATTCAACTCACAGTGTGGAACCTTTCTTTGATAGTTCAGGTTTGAAACACTCTTTTTGTAGAAACTTCAAGGGGATAATTGCACTTCTTTGAGGCCTACCGTAGTAAAGGAAATAACTTCCTATAGAAAGAAGACAGAAGCATTCTCAGAACCCTCTTCGTGATGTTTGCATTCAACTCACAGTGCTGAACCTTTCTTTGATAGTTCAGCTTTGAAACACTCTTCTTGTAGAAACTGCAAGTGGATATTTGGTCCTCTCTGAGGATTTCGTTGGAAACGGGATAAACCGCACAGAACTAAACAGAAGCATTCTCAGAACCTTCTTCGTGATGTTTGCATTCAACTCACAGTGTTGAACCTTTCTTTGATAGTTCAGGTTGGAAACGGTCTTTATGTAGAAACTGCAAGTAGATATTTGGACCTCTCTGAGGATTTCGTTGGAAACGGGATAAACCGCACAGAACTAAAACAGAAGCATTCACAGAAAACTCTTGGTGACGACTGAGTTTAACTCACAGAGCTGAACATTCCTTTGGATGGAGCAGTTTCGAAACACACTATTTGTAGAATGTGCAAGTGGATATTTGGGCCTCTCTGAGG
Organism: Homo sapiens; assembly: GCF_000001405.40. Classification (NCBI taxonomy): domain Eukaryota; kingdom Metazoa; phylum Chordata; class Mammalia; order Primates; family Hominidae; genus Homo; species Homo sapiens. Next base: position 25,852,925 of record NC_000017.11, read on the forward strand.
ATTTCGTTGGAAACGGGATAAACCGCACAGAACTAAACAGAAGCATTCTCAGAAACTACTTTGTGATGATTGCATTCAAGTCACAGAGTTGAACATTCCCTTTGACAGAGCAGTTTGGAAACTCTCTTTGTGTAGAATCTGCAAGTGGAGATATGGACCGCTTTGAGGCCTATGGTAGTAAAGGAAATAGCTTCATATAAAAGCTAGACAGTAGCATTCTCAGAAACTTCTTTGTGATGCTTGCATTCAACTCACAGAGTTGAACTTTCCTTTCGAGAGAGAAGCTTTGAAACACTCTTTTTCCAGAATGTGCAAGTGGACATTTCGAGGGCTTTGAGGCCTGTGGTGGAAAAGGAGTTATCTTCCCGTAAAAGCTAGATAGAAGCATTGTCAGAAACTTCTTTGTGATGATTGCATTCAACTCACAGAGTTGAAGGTTCCTTTTCAAACAGCAGTTTCCAATCACTCTTTCTGTGGAATCTGCAAGTGGATATTTCGACCTCTTTGAAGATTTCGTTGGAAACGGGAGAATCTTCACAGAAAAGCTAAACAGAAGCATTCTCAGAAACTTCTCTGTGATGTTTGTGTTCAACTCCCAGAGTTTCACGTTGCTTTTCATAGAGTAGTTCTGAAACATGCTTTTCGTAGTGTCTGCAAGTGGACATTTGGAGCGCTTTCAGGCCTGTGGTGGAAAACGAATTATGGTCACATAAAAACTGGAGAGAAGCCTTCTCAGAAACTTCTCTGTGATGATTGCATTCAACTCACAGAGTTGAACCCTCCTATGGATAGAGCAGTGTTGAAACTCTCTTTTTGTGGAATCTGCAAGTGGATATGTGGACCTCTCCGAAGATGTCTTTGGAAACGGGAATATCTTCACATAAAAACTAAACAGAAGCATTCTCAGAAACTTCTTGGTGATGTTTGCATTCAAATGCCAGAGTTGAACCTTCCTTTGATAGTTCAGGTTTGAAACACTCTTTTTGTAGGATCTGCAAGTGGATATTTGGACCACTCTGTGGCCTTCGTTCGAAACGGGTATATCTTCGCATAAAATCTAGACAGAAGCATTCTCAGAAAATACTTTGTGATGATTGAGTTTAACTCACAGAGCTGAACATTCCTTTGGATGGAGCAGGTTTGAGACACACTTTTTGTAGAATCTACAAGTGGATATTTGGACCTCTCTGAGGATTTCGTTGGAAACGGGATAACTGCACCTAACTAAACGGAAGCATTCTCAGAAACTGCTTTGTGATGATTGCATTCACCTCACAGGGTTGACCATTCCTATTGATAGAGCAGTTTGGAAACACTCTTGTTGTGGAATGTGCAAGTGCAGATTTGGAGCGCTTTGAGGCCTATGGTAGTAAAGGGAATAGCTTCATAGAAAAACTAGACAGATGCATTCTCAGGAACTTTTTGGTGATGTTTGTATTCAACTCCCAGAGTTGAACTTTCCTTTGGAAAGAGCAGCTATGAAACACTCTTTTTCTAGAATCTGCAAGTGGACGTTTGGAGGGCTTTGTGGTTTGTGGTGGAAAAGGAAATATCTTCACCTAAATACTAGATAGAAGCATTCTCAGAAGCTTCTCTGTGATGACTGCATTCAACTCACGGAGTTGAACACTCCTTTTGAGAGCACAGTTTTGAAACTCTCTTTCTGTGGCATCTGCAAGGGGACATGTAGACCTCTTTGAAGGTTTCGTTGGAAACGGAATCATCTTCACATAAAAACTATACAGAAGCAGTCTCAGAATCTTCTTTGTGATGTTTGCATTCAAATCCCAGAGTTGAACTTTCCTTTCAAAGTTCACGTTTGAAACACTCTTTTTGCAGGATCTACAAGTGGATATTTGGACCACTCTGTGTCCTTCGTTCGAAACGGGTATATCTTCACATGACATCTAGACAGAAGCTTTCTCAGAAAATTCTTTGGGATGATTGAGTGGAACTCACAGAGCTGAACATTCCTTGCGATGTAGCAGTTTAGAAACACACTTTCTGCAGAATCTGCAAGTGCATATTTGGACCTCTCTGAGGAATTCGTTGGAAACGGGATAATTTCAGCTGACTAAACAGAAGCATTCTCAGAACCTTCTTCGTGATGTCTGCATTCAACTCACAGTGTGGAACCTTTCTTTGATAGTTCAGGTTTGAAACACTCTTTTTGTAGAAACTGCAAGGGGATAATTGCACTCTTTGAGGAGTACCGTAGTAAAGGAAATAACTTCCTATAAAAAGAAGACAGAAGCATTCTCAGAACCCTCTTCGTGATGTTTGCATTCAACTCACAGTGCTGAACCTTTCTTTGATAGTTCAGCTTTGAAACACTCTTTTTGTAGAAACTGCAAGTGGATATTTGGTCCTCTCTGAGCATTTCGTTGGAAACGGGATAAACTGCACAGAACTAAACAGAAGCATTCTCAGAACCTTCTTCGTGATGTTTGCATTCAACTCACAGTGTTGAACCTTTCTTTGATAGTTCAGGTTTGAAACGGTCTTTCTGCAGAAACTGCAAGTAGATATTTGGACCGCTCTGAGGATTTCGTTGGAAACGGGATAACCCGCACAGAACTAAAACAGAAGCATTCACAGAAAACTCTTGGTGACGACTGAGTTTAACTCACAGAGCTGAACATTCCTTTGGATGGAGCAGTTTCGAAACACACTATTTGTAGAATGTGCAAGTGGATATTTAGGCCTCTCTGAGGATTTCGTTGGAAACGGGTTAAACCGCACAGAACTAAACAGAAGCATTCTCAGAAACTACTTTGTGATGATTGCATTCAAGTCACAGAGTTGAACATTCCCTTTGACAGAGCAGTTTGGAAACTCTCTTTGTGTAGAATCTGCAAGTGGAGATACGGACCGCTTTGAGGCCTATGGTAGTAAAGGAAATAGCTTCATATAAAAGCTAGACAGTAGCATTCTCAGAAACTTCTTTGTGATGCTTGCATTCAACTCACAGAGTTGAACTTTCCTTTCGAGAGAGAAGCTTTGAAACACTCTTTTTCCAGAATCTGCAAGTGGACATTTGGAGGGCTTTGAGGCCTGTGGTGGAAAAGGAATTATCTTCCCGTAAAAGCTAGATAGAAGCATTGTCAGAAACTTCTTTGTGATGATTGCATTCAACTCACAGAGTTGAAGGTTCCTTTTCAAACAGCAGTTTCCAATCACTCTTTCTGTGGAATCTGCAAGTGGATATTTGGGCCTCTCTGAGGATTTCGTTGGAAACGGGATAAAACGCACAGAACTAAAACAGAAGCATTCTCAGAAACTTCTCTGTGATGTTTGTGTTCAACTCCCAAGAGTTTCACGTTGCTTTTCATAGAGTAGTTCTGAAACATGCTTTTCGTAGTGTCTGCAAGTGGACATTTGGAGCGCTTTCAGGCCTGTGGTGGAAAACGAATTATGGTCACTTAAAAACTGGAGAGAAGCCTTCTCAGAAACTTCTCTGTGATGATTGCATTCAACTCACAGAGTTGAACCCTCCTATGGATAGAGCAGTGTTGAAACTCTCTTTTTGTGGAATCTGCAAGTGGATGTGTGGACCTCTCCGAAGATGTCTTTGGAAACGGGAATATCTTCACATAAAAACTAAACAGAAGCATTCTCAGAAACTTCTTCGTGATGTTTGCATTCAAATCCCAGAGTTGAACCTTCCTTTGAGAGTTCAGGTTTGAAACACTCTTTTTGTAGGATCTGCAAGTGGATATTTGGACCACTCTGTGGCCTTCGTTCGAAACGGGTACATCTTCGCATAAAATCTAGACAGAAGCATTCTCAGAAAATACTTTGTGATGATTGAGTTGAACTCACAGAGCTGAACATTCCTTTGGATGGAGCAGGTTTGAGACACACTTTTTGTAGAATCTACAAGGGGATATTTGGACCTCTCTGAGGATTTCGTTGGAAACGGGATAACTGCACCTAACTAAACGGAAGCATTCTCAGAAACTGCTTTGTGTTGATTGCATTCACCTCACAGAGTTGAACATTCCTATTGATAGAGCAGTTTGGAAACACTCTTCTTGTGGAATGTGCAAGTGGAGATTCGGAGCGCTTTGAGGCCTATGGTAGTAAAGGGAATAGCTTCATAGAAAAACTAGACAGATGCATTGTCAGGAACTTTTTGGTGATGTTTGTATTCAACTCCCAGAGTTGAACTTTCCTTTGGAAAGAGCAGCTATGAAACACTCTTTTTCTAGAATCTGCAAGTGGACGTTTGGAGGGCTTTGTGGTTTGTGGTGGAAAAGGAAATATCTTCACCTAAATACTAGATAGAAGCATTCTCAGAAGCTTCTCTGTGATGACTGCATTCAACTCACGGAGTTGAACACTCCTTTTGAGAGCGCAGTTTTGAAACTCTCTTTCTGTGGCATCTGCAAGGGGACATGTAGACCTCTTTGAAGATTTCGTTGGAAACGGAATCATCTTCACATAAAAACTATACAGAAGCAGTCTCAGAATCTTCTTTGTGATGTTAGCATTCAAATCCCAGAGTTGAACTTTCCTTTCAAAGTTCACGTTTGAAACACTCTTTTTGCAGGATCTACAAGTGGATATTTGGACCACTCTGTGTCCTTCGTTCGAAACGGGTATATCTTCACACGACATCTAGACAGAAGCTTTCTCAGAAAATTCTTTGGGATGATTGAGTTGAACTCACAGAGCTGAACATTCCTTGCGATGTAGCAGTTTAGAAACACACTTTCTGCAGAATCTGCAAGTGCATATTTGGACCTCTCTGAGGAATTCGTTGGAAACGGGATAATTTCAGCTGACTAAACAGAAGCATTCTCAGAACCTTCTTCGTGATGTCTGCATTCAACTCACAGTGTGGAACCTTTCTTTGATAGTTCAGGTTTGAAACACTCTTTTTGTAGAAACTGCAAGGGGATAATTGCACTTCTTTGAGGCCTACCGTAGTAAAGGAAATAACTTCCTATAGAAAGAAGACAGAAGCATTCTCAGAACCCTCTTCGTGATGTTTGCATTCAACTCACAGTGCTGAACCTTTCTTTGATAGTTCAGCTTTGAAACACTCTTTTTGTAGAAACTGCAAGTGGATATTTGGTCCTCTCTGAGCATTTCGTTGGAAACGGGATAAACTGCACAGAACTAAACAGAAGCATTCTCAGAACCTTCTTCGTGATGTTTGCATTCAACTCACAGTGTTGAACCTTTCTTTGATAGTTCAGGTTTGAAACGGTCTTTCTGTAGAAACTGCAAGTAGATATTTGGACCTCTCTGAGGATTTCGTTGGAAACGGGATAACCCGCACAGAACTAAAACAGAAGCATTCACAGAAAACTCTTGGTGACGACTGAGTTTAACTCACAGAGCTGAACATTCCTTTGGATGGAGCAGTTTCGAAACACACTATTTGTAGAATGTGCAAGTGGATATTTAGGCCTCTCTGAGGATTTCGTTGGAAACGGGATAAACCGCACAGAACTAAACAGAAGCATTCTCAGAAACTACTTTGTGATGATTGCATTCAAGTCACAGAGTTGAACATTCCCTTTGACAGAGCAGTTTGGAAACTCTCTTTGTGTAGAATCTGCAAGTGGAGATATGGACCGCTTTGAGGACTATGGTAGTAAAGGAAATAGCTTCATATAAAAGCAAGACAGTAGCATTCTCAGAAACTTCTTTGTGATGCTTGCATTCAACTCACAGAGTTGAACTTTCCTTTCGAGAGAGAAGCTTTGAAACACTCTTTTTCCAGAATCTGCAAGTGGACATTTGGAGGGCTTTGAGGCCTGTGGTGGAAAAGGAATTATCTTCCCGTAAAAGCTAGATAGAAGCATTGTCAGAAACTTCTTTGTGATGATTGCATTCAACTCACAGAGTTGAAGGTTCCTTTTCAAAGAGCAGTTTCCAATCACTCTTTCTGTGGAATCTGCAAGTGGATATTTGGACCTATTTTGAAGATTTCGTTGGAAACGGGAGAATCTTCACAGGAAAGCTAAACAGAAGCATTCTCAGAAACTTCTCTGTGATGTTTGTGTTCAACTCCCAGAGTTTCACATTGCTTTTCATAGAGTAGTTCTGAAACATGCTTTTCGTAGTGTCTACAAGTGGACATTTGGAGTGCTTTCAGGCCTGTGGTGGAAAACGAATTATGGTCACATAAAAACTGGAGAGAAGCCTTCTCAGAAACTTCTCTGTGATGATTGCATTCAACTCACAGAGTTGAACCCTCCTATGGATAGAGCAGTGTTGAAACTCTCTTTTTGTGGAATCTGCAAGTGGATATGTGGACCTCTCCGAAGATGTCTTTGGAAACGGGAATATCTTCACATAAAAACTAAACAGAAGCATTCTCAGAAACTTCTTGGTGATGTTTACATTCAAATCCCAGAGTTGAAGCTTCCTTTGATAGTTCAGGTTTGAAACACTCTTTTTGTAGGATCTGCAAGTGGATATTTGGACCACTCTGTGGCCTTCGTTCGAAACGGGTACATCTTCGCATAAAATCTAGACAGAAGCATTCTCAGAAAATACTTTGTGATGATTGAGTTTAACTCACAGAGCTGAACATTCCTTTGGATGGAGCAGGTTTGAGACACACTTTTTGTAGAATCTACAAGTGGATATTTGGACCTCTCTGAGGATTTCGTTGGAAACGGGATAACTGCACCTAACTAAACGGAAGCATTCTCAGAAACTGCTTTGTGATGATTGCATTCACCTCACAGAGTTGAACATTCCTATTGATAGAGCAGTTTGGAAACACTCTTGTTGTGGAATGTGCAAGTGGAGATTTGGAGCGCTTTGAGGCCTATGGTAGTAAAGGGAATAGCTTCATAGAAAAACAAGACAGATGCATTCTCAGGAACTTTTTGGTGATGTTTGTATTCAACTCCCAGAGTTGAACTTTCCTTTGGAAAGAGCAGCTATGAAACACCCTTTTTCTAGAATCTGCAAGTGGACGTTTGGAGGGCTTTGTGGTTTGTGGTGGAAAAGGAAATATCTTCACCTAAATATTAGATAGAAGCATTCTCAGAAGCTTCTCTGTGATGACTGCATTCAACTCAAGGAGTTGAACACTCCTTTTGAGAGCGCAGTTTTGAAACTCTTTCTGTGGCATCTGCAAGGGGACATGTAGACCTCTTGGAAGATTTCGTTGGAAACGGAATCATCTTCATATAAAAATTATACAGAAGCAGTCTCAGAATCTTCTTTGTGATGTTTGCATTCAAATCCCAGAGTTGAACTTTCCTTTCAAAGTTCACGTTTGAAACACTCTTTTTGCAGGATCTACAAGTGGATATTTGGACCACTCTGTGTCCTTCGTTCGAAACGGGTATATCTTCACATGACATCTAGACAGAAGCTTTCTCAGAAAATTCTTTGGGATGATTGAGTTGAGCAAACAGAGCTGAACACTCCTTGCGATGTAGCAGTTTAGAAACACACTTTCTGCAGAATCTGCAAGTGCATATGTGGACCTCTCTGAGGAATTCGTTGGAAACGGGATAATTTCAGCTGACTAAACAGTAGCATTCTCAGAACCTTCTTCGTGATGTCTGCATTCAACTCACAGTGTGGAACCTTTCTTTGATAGTTCAGGTTTGAAACACTCTTTTTGTAGAAACTGCAAGGGGATAATTGCACTTCTTTGAGGCCTACCGTAGTAAAGGAAATAACTTCCTATAGAAAGAAGACAGAAGCATTCTCAGAACCCTCTTCGTGATGTTTGCATTCAACTCACAGTGCTGAACCTTTCTTTGATAGTTCAGCTTTGAAACACTCTTCTTGTAGAAACTGCAAGTGGATATTTGGTCCTCTCTGAAGATTTCGTTGGAAACGGGATAAACCGCACAGAACTAAACAGAAGCATTCACAGAAAACTCTTGGTGACGACTGAGTTTAACTCACAGAGCTGAACATTCCTTTGGATGGAGCAGTTTCGAAACACACTATTTGTAGAATGTGCAAGTGGATATTTGGGCCTCTCTGAGGATTTCGTTGGAAACGGGATAAACCGCACAGAACTAAAACAGAAGCATTCTCAGAAACTACTTTGTGATGATTGCATTCAAGTCACAGAGTTGAACATTCCCTTTGACAGAGCAGTTTGGAAACTCTCTTTGTGTAGAATCTGCAAGTGGAGATATGGACCGCTTTGAGGCCTATGGTAGTAAAGGAAATAGCTTCATATAAAAGCTAGACAGTAGCATTCTCAGAAACTTCTTTGTGATGCTTGCATTCAACTCACAGAGTTGAACTTTCCTTTCGAGAGAGAAGCTTTGAAACACTCTTTTTCCAGAATCTGCAAGTGGACATTTGGAGGGCTTTGAGGCCTGTGGTGGAAAAGGAATTAACTTCCCGTAAAAGCTAGATAGAAGCATTGTCAGAAACTTCTTTGTGATGATTGCATTCAACTCACAGAGTTGAAGGTTCCTTTTCAAAGAGCAGTTTCCAATCACTCTTTCTGTGGAATCTGCAAGTGGATATTTGGACCTATTTTGAAGATTTCGTTGGAAACGGGAGAATCTTCACAGGAAAGCTAAACAGAAGCATTCTCAGAAACTTCTCTGTGATGTTTGTGTTCAACTCCCAGAGTTTCACATTGCTTTTCATAGAGTAGTTCTGAAACATGCTTTTCGTAGTGTCTACAAGTGGACATTTGGAGCGCTTTCAGGCCTGTGGTGGAAAACGAATTATGGTCACATAAAAACTGGAGAGAAGCCTTCTCAGAAACTTCTCTGTGATGATTGCATTCAACTCACAGAGTTGAACCCTCCTATGGATAGAGCAGTGTTGAAACTCTCTTTTTGTGGAATCTGCAAGTGGATACGTGGACCTCTCCGAAGATGTCTTTGGAAACGGGAATATCTTCACATAAAAACTAAACAGAAGCATTCTCAGAAACTTCTTGGTGATGTTTGCATTCAAATCCCAGAGTTGAACCTTCCTTTGATAGTTCAGGTTTGAAACACTCTTTTTGTAGGATCTGCAAGTGGATATTTGGACCACTCTGTGGCCTTCGTTCGAAACGGGTATATCTTCGCATAAAATCTAGACAGAAGCATTCTCAGAAAATACTTTGTGATGATTGAGTTTAACTCACAGAGCTGAACATTCCTTTGGATGGAGCAGGTTTGAGACACACTTTTTGTAGAATCTACAAGTGGATATTTGGACCTCTCTGAGGATTTCGTTGGAAACGGGATAACTGCACCTAACTAAACGGAAGCATTCTCAGAAACTGCTTTGTGATGATTGCATTCACCTCACAGAGTTGACCATTCCTATTGATAGAGCAGTTTGGAAACACTCTTGTTGTGGAATGTGCAAGTGGAGATTTGGAGCGCTTTGAGGCCTATGGTAGTAAAGGGAATAGCTTCATAGAAAAACTAGACAGATGCATTCTCAGGAACTTTTTGGTGATGTTTCTATTCAACTCCCAGAGTTGAACTTTCCTTTGGAAAGAGCAGCTATGAAACACTCTTTTTCTAGAATCTGCAAGTGGACGTTTGGAGGGCTTTGTGGTTTGTGGTGGAAAAGGAAATATCTTCACCTCAATACTAGATAGAAGCATTCTCAGAAGCTTCTCTGTGATGACTGCATTCAACTCACGGAGTTGAACACTCCTTTTGAGAGCGCAGTTTTGAAACTCTGTTTCTGTGGCATCTGCAAGGGGACATGTAGACCTCTTTGAAGATTTCGTTGGAAACGGAATCATCTTCACATCAAAACTATACAGAAGCAGTCTCAGAATCTTCTTTGTGATGTTTGCATTCAAATCCCAGAGTTGAACTTTCCTTTCAAAGTTCACGTTTGAAACACTCTTTTTGCAGGATCTACAAGTGGATATTTGGACCACTCTGTGTCCTTCGTTCGAAACGGGTATATCTTCACATGACATCTAGACAGAAGCTTTCTCAGAAAATTCTTTGGGATGATTGAGTGGAACTCACAGAGCTGAACATTCCTTGCGATGGAGCAGTTTAGAAACACACTTTCTGCAGAATCTGCAAGTGCATATTTGGACCTCTCTGAGGAATTCGTTGGAAACGGGATAATTTCAGCTGACTAAACAGAAGCATTCTCAGAACCTTCTTCGTGATGTCTGCATTCAACTCACAGTGTGGAACCTTTCTTTGATAGTTCAGGTTTGAAACACTCTTTTTGTAGAAACTGCAAGGGGATAATTGCACTTCTTTGAGGCCTACCGTAGTAAAGGAAATAACTTCCTATAGAAAGAAGACAGAAGCATTCTCAGAACCCTCTTCGTGATGTTTGCATTCAACTCACGGTGCTGAAACTTTCTTTGATAGTTCAGCTTTGAAACACTCTTTTTGTAGAAACTGCAAGTGGATATTTGGTCCTCTCTGAGGATTTCGTTGGAAACGGGATAAACCGCACAGAACTAAACAGAAGCATTCTCAGAACCTTCTTCGTGATGTTTGCATTCAACTCACAGTGTTGAACCTTTCTTTGATAGTTCAGGTTTGAAACGGTCTTTCTGTAGAAACTGCAAGTAGATATTTGGACCTCTCTGAGGATTTCGTTGGAAACGGGATAAACCGCCCAGAACTAAAACAGAAGCATTCACAGAAAACTCTTGGTGACGACTGAGTTTAACTCACAGAGCTGAACATTCCTTTGGATGGAGCAGTTTCGAAACACACTATTTGTAGAATGTGTAAGTGGATATGTGGGCCTCTCTGAGGATTTCGTTGGAAACGGGATAAACCGCACAGAACTAAACAGAAGCATTCTCAGAAACTACTTTGTGATGATTGCATTCACGTCACAGAGTTGAACATTCCCTTTGACAGAGCAGTTTGGAAACTCTCTTTGTGTAGAATCTGCAAGTGGAGATATGGACCGCTTTGAGGCCTATGGTAGTAAAGGAAATAGCTTCATATAAAAGCTAGACAGTAGCATTCTCAGAAACTTCTTTGTGATGCTTGCATTCAACTCACAGAGTTGAACTTTCCTTTCGAGAGAGAAGCTTTGAAACACTCTTTTTCCAGAATCTGCAAGTGGACCTTTGGAGGGCTTTGATGTCTGTGGTGGAAAAGGAATTATCTTCCCGTAAAAGCTAGATAGAAGCATTGTCAGAAACTTCTTTGTGATGATTCCATTCAACTCACAGAGTTGAAGGTTCCTTTTCAAACAGCAGTTTCCAAACACTCTTTCTGTGGAATCTGCAAGTGGATATTTGGACCTCTTTGAAGATTTCGTTGGAAACGGGATAACCTTCACAGAAAAGCTAAACAGAAGCATTCTCAGAAACTTCTCTGTGATGTTTGTGTTCAACTCCCAGAGTGTCACATTGCTTCTCATAGAGTAGTTCTGAAACATGTTTTTCGTAGTGTCTGCAAGGGGACATTTGGAGCGCTTTCAGGACTGTGGTGGAAAACGAATTATGGTCACATAAAAACTGGAGAGAAGCCTTCTCAGAAACTTCTCTGTGATGATTGCATTCAACTCACAGAGTTGAACCCTCCTATGGATAGAGCAGTGTTGAAACTCTCTTTTTGTGGAATCTGCAAGTGGATATGTGGACCTCTCCGAAGATGTCTTTGGAAACGGGACTATCTTCACATAAAAACTAAACAGAAGCATTCTCAGAAACTTCTTGGTGATGTTTGCATTCAAATCCCAGAGTTGAACCTTCCTTTGATAGTTCAGGTTTGAAACACTCTTTTTGTAGGATCTGCAAGTGGATATTTGGACCACTCTGTGGCCTTCGTTCGAAACGGGTACATCTTCGCATAAAATCTAGACAGAAGCATTCTCAGAAAATACTTTGTGATGATTGAGTTTAACTCACAGAGCTGAACATTCCTTTGGATGGAGCAGGCTTGAGACACACTTTTTGTAGAATCTACAAGTGGATATTTTGACCTCTCTGAGGATTTCGTTGGAAACGGGATAACTGCACCGAACTAAACGGAAGCATTCTCAGAAACTGCTTTGTGATGATTGCATTCACCTCACAGAGTTGACCATTCCTATTGATAGAGCAGTTTGGAAACACTCTTGTTGTGGAATGTGCAAGTGGAGATTTGGAGCGCTTTGAGGCCTATGGTAGTAAAGGGAATAGCTTCATAGAAAAACTAGACAGATGCATTCTCAGGAACTTTTTGGTGATGTTTGTATTCAACTCCCAGAGTTGAACTTTCCTTTGGAAAGAGCAGCTATGAAACACTCTTTTTCTAGAATCTGCAAGTGGACGTTTGGAGGGCTTTGTGGTTTGTGGTGGAAAAGGAAATATCTTCACCTAAATACTACATAGAAGCATTCTCAGAAGCTTCTCTGTGATGACTGCATTCAACTCACGGAGTTGAACACTCCTTTTGAGAGCGCAGTTTTGAAACTCTCTTTCTGTGGCATCTGCAAGGGGACATGTAGACCTCTTTGAAGATTTCGTTGGAAACGGAATCATCTTCACATAAAAACTATACAGAAGCAGTCTCAGAATCTTCTTTGTGATGTTTGCATTCAAATCCCAGAGTTGAACTTTCCTTTCAAAGTTCACGTTTGAAACACTCTTTTTGCAGGATCTACAAGTGGATATTTGGACCACTCTGTGTCCTTCGTTCGAAACGGGTATATCTTCACATGACATCTAGACAGAAGCTTTCTCAGAAAATTCTTTGGGATGATTGAGTTGAACTCACAGAGCTGAACATTCCTTGCGATGGAGCAGTTTAGAAACACACTTTCTGCAGAATCTGCAAGTGCATATTTGGACCTCTCTGAGGAATTCGTTGGAAACGGGATAATTTCAGCTGACTAAACAGAAGCATTCTCAGAACCTTCTTCGTGATGTCTGCATTCAACTCACAGTGTGGAACCTTTCTTTGATAGTTCAGGTTTGAAACACTCTTTTTGTAGAAACTGCAAGGGGATAATTGCACTTCTTTGAGGCCTACCGTAGTAAAGGAAATAACTTCCTATAGAAAGAAGACAGAAGCATTCTCAGAACCCTCTTCGTGATGTTTGCATTCAACTCACGGTGCTGAATCTTTCTTTGATAGTTCAGCTTTGAAACACTCTTTTTGTAGAAACTGCAAGTGGATATTTGGTCCTCTCTGAGGATTTCGTTGGTAACGGGATAAACCGCACAGAACTAAACAGAAGCATTCTCAGAACCTTCTTCGTGATGTTTGCATTCAACTCACAGTGTTGAACCTTTCTTTGATAGTTCAGGTTTGAAACGGTCTTTCTGTAGAAACTGCAAGTAGATATTTCGACCTCTCTGGGGATTTCGTTGGAAACGGGATAAACCGCACAGAACTAAAACAGAAGCATTCACAGAAAACTCTTGGTGACGACTGAGTTTAACTCACAGAACTGAACATTCCTTTGGATGGAGCAGTTTCGAAACACACTATTTGTAGAATGTGCAAGTGGATATGTGGGCCTCTCTGAGGATTTCGTTGGAAACGGGATAAACCGCACAGAACTAAACAGAAGCATTCTCAGAAACTACTTTGTGATGATTGCATTCAAGTCACAGAGTTGAACATTCCCTTTGACAGAGCAGTTTGGAAACTCTCTTTGTGTAGAATCTGCAAGTGGAGATATGGACCGCTTTGAGGCCTATGGTAGTAAAGGAAATAGCTTCATATAAAAGCTAGACAGTAGCATTCTCAGAAACTTCTTTGTGATGCTTGCATTCAACTCACAGAGTTGAACTTTCCTTTCGAGAGAGAAGCTTTGAAACACTCTTTTTCCAGAATCTGCAAGTGGACATTTGGAGGGCTTTGAGGCCTGTGGTGGAAAAGGAATTATCTTCCCGTAAAAGCTAGATAGAAGCATTGTCAGAAACTTCTTTGTGATGATTGCATTCAACTCACAGTAGTTGAAGGTTCCTTTTCAAAGAGCAGTTTCCAATCACTCTTTCTGTGGAATCTGCAAGTGGATATTTGGACCTATTTTGAAGATTTCGTTGGAAACGGGAGAATCTTCACAGGAAAGCTAAACAGAAGCATTCTCAGAAACTTCTCTGTGATGTTTGTGTTCAACTCCCAGAGTTGCACATTGCTTTTCATAGAGTAGTTCTGAAACATGCTTTTCGTAGTGTCTGCAAGTGGACATTTGGAGCGCTTTCAGGCCTGTGGTGGAAAACGAATTATGGTCACATAAAAACTGGAGAGAAGCCTTCTCAGAAACTTCTCTGTGATGATTGCATTCAACTCACTGAGTTGAACCCTCCTATGGATAGAGCAGTGTTGAAACTCTCTTTTTGTGGAATCTGCAAGTGGATATGTGGACCTCTCCGAAGATGTCTTTGGAAACGGGAATATCTTCACATAAAAACTAAACAGAAGCATTCTCAGAAACTTCTTGGTGATGTTTGCATTCAAATCCCAGAGTTGAACCTTCCTTTGATAGTTCAGGTTTGAAACACTCTTTTTGTAGGATCTGCAAGTAGCTATTTGGACCACTCTGTGGCCTTCGTTCGAAACGGGTACATCTTCGCATAAAATCTAGACAGAAGCATTCTCAGAAAATACTTTGTGATGATTGAGTTTAACTCAAAGAGCTGAACATTCCTTTGGGTGGAGCAGGTTTGAGACACACTTTTTGTAGAATCTACAAGTGGATATTTGGACCTCTCTGAGGATTTCGTTGGAAACGGGATAACTGCACCTAACTAAAGGGAAGCATTCTCAGAAACTGCTTTGTGATTATTGCATTCACCTCACAGAGTTGAACATTCCTATTGATAGAGCAGTTTGGAAACACTCTTGTTGTGGAATGTGCAAGTGGAGATTTGGAGCGCTTTGAGGCCTATGGTAGTAAAGGGAATAGCTTCATAGAAAAACTAGACAGATGCATTCTCAGGAACTTTTTGGTGATGTTTGTATTCAACTCCCAGAGTTGAACTTTCCTTTGGAAAGAGCAGCTATGAAACACTCTTTTTCTAGAATCTGCAAGTGGACGTTTGGAGGGCTTTGTGGTTTGTGGTGGAAAAGGAAATATCTTCACCTAAATACTAGATAGAAGCATTCTCAGAAGCTTCTCTGTGATGACTGCATTCAACTCACGGAGTTGAACACTCCTTTTGAGAGCGCAGTTTTGAAACTCTCTTTCTGTGGCATCCGCAAGGGGACATGTAGACCTCTTTGAAGATTTCGTTGGAAACGGAATCATCTTCACATAAAAACTATACAGAAGCAGTCTCAGAATCTTCTTTGTGATGTTTGCATTCAAATCCCAGAGTTGAACTTTCCTTTCAAAGTTCACGTTTGAAACACTCTTTTTGCAGGATCTACAAGTGGATATTTGGACCACTCTGTGTCCTTCGTTCGAAACGGGTATATCTTCACATGACATCTAGACAGAAGCTTTCTCAGAAAATTCTTTGGGATGATTGAGTGGAACTCACAGAGCTGAACATTCCTTGCGATGGAGCAGTTTAGAAACACACTTTCTGCAGAATCTGCAAGTGCATATTTGGACCTCTCTGAGGAATTCGTTGGAAACGGGATAATTTCAGCTGACTAAACAGAAGCATTCTCAGAACCTTCTTCGTGATGTCTGCATTCAACTCACAGTGTGGAACCTTTCTTTGATAGTTCAGGTTTGAAACACTCTTTTTGTAGAAACTGCAAGGGGATAATTGCACTTCTTTGAGGCCTACCGTAGTAAAGGAAATAACTTCCTATAGAAAGAAGACAGAAGCATTCTCAGAACCCTCTTCGTGATGTTTGCATTCAACTCACAGTGCTGAACCTTTCTTTGATAGTTCAGCTTTGAAACACTCTTCTTGTAGAAACTGCAAGTGGATATTTGGTCCTCTCTGAGGATTTCGTTGGAAACGGGATAAACCGCACAGAACTAAACAGAAGAATTCTCAGAGCCCTCTTCGTGATGTTTGCATTCAACTCACAGTGCTGAACCTTTCTTTGATAGTGCAGCTTTGAAACACTCTTTTTGTAGAAACTGCAAGTGGATGTTTGGTCCTCTCTGAGGATTTCGTTGGAAACGGGATAAACCGCACAGAACTAAAACAGAAGCATTCACAGAAAACTCTTGGTGACGACTGAGTTTAACTCACAGAGCTGAACATTCCTTTGGATGGAGCAGTTTCAAAACACACTATTTGTAGAATCTGCAAGTGGATATGTGGGCCTCTCTGAGGATTTCGTTGGAAACGGGATAAACCGCACAGAACTAAAACAGAACCATTGTCAGAAACTACTTTGTGATGATTGCATTCAAGTCACAGAGTTCAACATTCCCTTTGACAGAGCAGTTTGGAAACTCTCTTTGTGTAGAATCTGCAAGTGGAGATATGGACCGCTTTCAGGCCTATGGTAGTAAAGGAAATAGCTTCATATAAAAGCTAGACAGTAGCATTCTCAGAAACTTCTTTGTGATGCTTGCATTCAACTCACAGAGTTGAACTTTCCTTTCGAGAGAGAAGCTTTGAAACACTCTTTTTCCAGAATCTGCAAGTGGACCTTTGGAGGGCTTTGATGTCTGTGGTGGAAAAGGAATTATCTTCCCGTAAAAGCTAGATAGAAGCATTGTCAGAAACTTCTTTGTGATGATTGCATTCAACTCACAGAGTTGAAGGTTCCTTTTCAAACAGCAGTTTCCAATCACTCTTTCTGTGGAATCTGCAAGTGGATATTTGGGCCTCTCTGAGGATTTCGTTGGAAACGGGATAAAACGCACAGAACTAAAACAGAAGCATTCTCAGAAACTTCTCTGTGATGTTTGTGTTCAACTCCCAGAGTTTCACGTTGCTTTTCATAGAGTAGTTCTGAAACATGCTTTTCGTAGTGTCTGCAAGTGGACATTTGGAGCGCTTTCAGGCCTGTGGTGGAAAACGAATTATGGTCACATAAAAACTGGAGAGAAGCCTTCTCAGAAACTTCTCTGTGATGATTGCATTCAACTCACAGAGTTGAACCCTCCTATGGATAGAGCAGTGTTGAAACTCTCTTTTTGTGGAATCTGCAAGTGGATATGTGGACCTCTCCGAAGATGTCTTTGGAAACGGGAATATCTTCACATAAAAACTAAACAGAAGCATTCTCAGAAACTTCTTGGTGATGTTTGCATTCAAATCCCAGAGTTGAACCTTCCTTTGATAGTTCAGGTTTGAAACACTCTTTTTGTAGGATCTGCAAGTGGATATTTGGACCACTCTGTGGCCTTCGTTCGAAACTGGTATATCTTCGCATAAAATCCAGACAGAAGCATTCTCAGAAAATACTTTGTGATGATTGAGTTTAACTCACAGAGCTGAACATTCCTTTGGATGGAGCAGGTTTGAGACACACTTTTTGTAGAATCTACAAGTGGATATTTGGACCTCTCGGAGGATTTCGTTGGAAACGGGATAACTGCACCTAACTAAACGGAAGCATTCTCAGAAACTGCTTTGTGATGATTGCATTCACCTCACAGAGTTGAACATTCCTATTGATAGAGCAGTTTGGAAACACTCTTATTGTGGAATGTGCAAGTGGAGATTTGGAGCGCTTTGAGGCCTATGGTAGTAAAGGGAATAGCTTCATAGAAAAACTAGACAGATGCATTCTCAGGAACTTTTTGGTGATGTTTGTATTCAACTCCCAGAGTTGAACTTTCCTTTGGAAAGAGCAGCTATGAAACACTCTTTTTCTAGAATCTGCAAGTGGACGTTTGGAGGGCTTTGTGGTTTGTGGTGGAAAAGGAAATATCTTCACCTAAATACTAGATAGAAGCATTCTCAGAAGCTTCTCTGTGATGACTGCATTCAACTCACGGAGTTGATCACTCCTTTTGAGAGCGCAGTTTTGAAACTCTCTTTCTGTGGCATCTGCAAGGGGACATGTAGACCTCTTTGAAGATTTCGTTGGAAACGGAATCATCTTCACATAAAAACTATACAGAAGCAGTCTCAGAA
The DNA here is from genome assembly GCF_000001405.40 of Homo sapiens. NCBI lineage: Eukaryota > Metazoa > Chordata > Mammalia > Primates > Hominidae > Homo > Homo sapiens. The sequence goes on from NC_000017.11 coordinate 25,870,806, forward strand.
TCTTCTTTGTGGTGTTTGCATTCAAATCCCAGAGTTGAACTTTCCTTTCAAAGTTCACGTTTGAAACACTCTTTTTGCAGGATCTACAAGTGGATATTTGGACCACTGCTGTGTCCTTCGTTCGAAACGGGTATATCTTCACATGACATCTAGACAGAAGCTTTCTCAGAAAATTCTTTGGGATGATTGAGTGGAACTCACAGAGCTGAACATTCCTTGCGATGTAGCAGTTTAGAAACACACTTTCTGCAGAATCTGCAAGTGCATATTTGGACCTCTCTGAGGAATTCGTTGGAAACGGGATAATTTCAGCTGACTAAACAGAAGCATTCTCAGAACCTTCTTCGTGATGTCTGCATTCAACTCACAGTGTGGAACCTTTATTTGATAGTTCAGGTTTGAAACACTCTTTTTGTAGAAACTGCAAGGGGATAATTGCACTTCTTTGAGGCCTACCGTAGTAAAGGAAATAACTTCCTATAAAAAGAAGACAGAAGCATTCTCAGAACCCTCTTGGTGATGTTTGCATTCAACTCACGGTGCTGAACCTTTCTTTGATAGTTCAGCTTTGAAACACTCTTTTTGTAGAAACTGCAAGTGGATATTTGGTCCTCTCTGAGGATTTCGTTGGAAACGGGATAAACTGCACAGAACTAAACAGAAGCATTCTCAGAACCTTCTTCGTGATGTTTGCATTCAACTCACAGTGTTGAACCTTTCTTTGATAGTTCAGGTTTGAAACGGTCTTTCTGTGGAAACTGCAAGTAGATATTTGGACCTCTCTGAGGATTTCGTTGGAAACGGGATAAACCGCACAGAACTAAAACAGAAGCATTCACAGAAAACTCTTGGTGACGACTGAGTTTAACTCACAGAGCTGAACATTCCTTTGGATGGAGCAGTTTCGAAACACACTATTTCTAGAAGGTGCAAGTGGATATGTGGGCCTCTCTGAGGATTTCGTTGGAAACGGGATAAACCGCACAGAACTAAACAGAAGCATTCTCAGAAACTACTTTGTGATGATTGCATTCAAGTCACAGAGTTGAACATTCCCTTTGACAGAGCAGTTTGGAAACTCTCTTTGTGTAGAATCTGCAAGTGGAGATATGGACCGCTTTGAGGCCTATGGTAGTAAAGGAAATAGCTTCATATAAAAGCTAGACAGTAGCATTCTCAGAAACTTCTTTGTGATGCTTGCATTCAACTCACAGAGTTGAACTTTCCTTTCGAGAGAGAAGCTTTGAAACACTCTTTTTCCAGAATCTGCAAGTGGACATTTGGAGGGCTTTGAGGCCTGTGGTGGAAAAGGAATTAACTTCCCGTAAAAGCTAGATAGAAGCATTGTCAGAAACTTCTTTGTGATGATTGCATTCAACTCACAGAGTTGAAGGTTCCTTTTCAAACAGCAGTTTCCAATCACTCTTTCTGTGGAATCTGCAAGTGGATATTTGGGCCTCTCTGAGGATTTCGTTGGAAACGGGATAAAACGCACAGAACTAAAACAGAAGAAGCATTCTCAGAAACTTCTCTGTGATGTTTGTGTTCAACTCCCAGAGTTTCACATTGCTTTTCATAGAGTAGTTCTGAAACATGCTTTTCGTAGTGTCTGCAAGTGGACATTTGGAGCGCTTTCAGGCCTGTGGTGGAAAACGAATTATGGTCACATAAAAACTGGAGAGAAGCCTTCTCAGAAACTTCTCTGTGATGATTGCATTCAACTCACGGAGTTGAACCCTCCTATGGATAGAGCAGTGTTGAAACTCTCTTTTTGTGGAATCTGCAAGTGGATATGTGGACCTCTCCGAAGATGTCTTTGGAAACGGGAATATCTTCACATGAAAACTAAACAGAAGCATTCTCAGAAACTTCTTGGTGATGTTTGCATTCAAATCCCAGAGTTGAACCTTCCTTTGATAGTTCAGGTTTGAAATACTCTTTTTGTAGGATCTGCAAGTGGATATTTGGACCACTCTGTGGCCTTCGTTCGAAACGGGTACATCTTCGCATAAAATCTAGACAGAAGCATTCTCAGAAAATACTTTGTGATGATTGAGTTTAACTCACAGAGCTGAACATTCCTTTGGATGGAGCAGGTTTGAGACACACTTTTTGTAGAATCTACAAGTGGATATTTGGACCTCTCTGAGGATTTCGTTGGAAACGCGATAACTGCACCTAACTAAACGGAAGCATTCTCAGAAACTGCTTTGTGATGATTGCATTCACCTCACAGAGTTGAACATTCCTATTGATAGAGCAGTTTGGAAACACTCTTGTTGTGGAATGTGCAAGTGGAGATTTGGAGCGCTTTGAGGCCTATGGTAGTAAAGGGAATAGCTTCATAGAAAAACTAGGCAGATGCATTCTCAGGAACTTTTTGGTGATGTTTGTATTCAACTCCCAGAGTTGAACTTTCCTTTGGAAAGAGCAGCTATGAAACACTCTTTTTCTAGAATCTGCAAGTGGACGTTTGGAGGGCTTTGTGGTTTGTGGTGGAAAAGGAAATATCTTCACCTAAATACTAGATAGAAGCATTCTCAGAAGCTTCTCTGTGATGACTGCATTCAACTCACGGAGTTGAACACTCCTTTTGAGAGCGCAGTTTTGGAACTCTCTTTCTGTGGCATCTGCAAGGGGACATGTAGACCTCTTTGAAGATTTCGTTGGAAACGGAATCATCTTCACATCAAAACTATACAGAAGCAGTCTCAGAATCTTCTTTGTGATGTTTGCATTCAAATCCCAGAGTTGAACTTGCCTTTCAAAGTTCACGTTTGAAACACTCTTTTTGCAGGATCTACAAGTGGATATTTGGACCACTCTGTGTCCTTCGTTCGAAACGGGTATATCTTCACATGACATCTAGACAGAAGCTTTCTCAGAAAATTCTTTGGGATGATTGAGTTGAACTCACAGAGCTGAGCATTCCTTGCGATGTAGCAGTTTAGAAACACACTTTCTGCAGAATCTGCAAGTGCATATTTGGACCTCTGTGAGGAATTCGTTGGAAACGGGATAATTTCAGCTGACTAAACAGAAGCATTCTCAGAACTTCTTCGTGATGTCTGCATTCAACTCACAGTGTGGAACCTTTCTTTGATAGTTCAGGTTTGAAACACTCTTTCTGTAGAAACTGCAAGGGGATAATTGCACTCTTTGAGGAGTACCGTAGTAAAGGAAATAACTTCCTATAAAAAGAAGACAGAAGCATTCTCAGAACACTCTTCGTGATGTTTGCATTCAACTCACGGTGCTGAACCTTTCTTTGATAGTTCAGCTTTGAAACACTCTTTTTGTAGAAACTGCAAGTGGATATTTGGTCCTCTCTGAGGATTTCGTTGGAAACGGGATAAACCGCACAGAACTAAACAGAAGCATTCTCAGAGCCCTCTTCGTGATGTTTGCATTCAACTCACAGTGCTGAACCTTTCTTTGATAGTGCAGCTTTGAAACACTCTTTTTGTAGAAACTGCAAGTGGATATTTGGTCCTACTACTGAGGATTTCGTTGGAAACGGGATAAACCGCACAGAACTAAAACAGAAGCATTCACAGAAAACTCTTGGTGACGACTGAGTTTAACTCACAGAGCTGAACATTCCTTTGGATGGAGCAGTTTCGAAACACACTATTTGTAGAATCTGCAAGTGGATATTTGGGCCTCTCTGAGGATTTCGTTGGAAACGGGATAAAACGCACAGAACTAAAACAGAAGCATTCTCAGAAACTACTTTGTGATGATTGCATTCAAGTCACAGAGTTGAACATTCCCTTTGACAGAGCAGTTTGGAAACTCTCTTTGTGTAGAATCTGCAAGTGGAGATATGGACCGCTTTGAGGCCTATGGTAGTAAAGGAAAGAGCTTCATATAAAAGCTAGACAGTAGCATTCTCAGAAACTTCTTTGTGATGCTTGCATTCAACTCACAGAGTTGAACTTTCCTTTCGAGAGAGAAGCTTTGAAACACTCTTTTTCCAGAATGTGCAAGTGGACATTTGGGGAGCTTTGAGGCCTGTGGTGGAAAAGGAATTATCTTCCCGTAAAAGCTAGATAGAAGCATTGTCAGAAACTTCTTTGTGATGATTGCATTCAACTCACAGAGTTGAAGGTTCCTTTTCAAACAGCAGTTTCCAATCACTCTTTCTGTGGAATCTGCAAGTGGATATTTGGGCCTCTCTGAGGATTTCGTTGGAAACGGGATAAAACGCACAGAACTAAAACAGAAAGCATACTCAGAAACTTCTCTGTGATGTTTGTGTTCAACTCCCAGAGTTTCACATTGATTTTCATAGAGTAGTTCTGAAACATGCTTTTCGTAGTGTCTGCAAGTGGACATTTGGAGTGCTTTCAGGCCTGCGGTGGAAAACGAATTATGGTCACATAAAAACTGGAGAGAAGCCTTCTCAGAAACTTCTCTGTGATGATTGCATTCAACTCACAGAGTTGAACCCTCCTATGGATAGAGCAGTGTTGAAACTCTCTTTTTGTGGAATCTGCAAGCGGATATGTGGACCTCTCCGAAGATGTCTTTGGAAACGGGAATATCTTCACATAAAAACTAAACAGAAGCATTCTCAGAAACTTCTTGGTGATGTTTGCATTCAAATCCCAGAGTTGAACCTTCCTTTGATAGTTCAGGTTTGAAACACTCTTTTTGTAGGATCTGCAAGTGGCTATTTGGACCACTCTGTGGCCTTCGTTCTTAACGGGTATATCTTCGCATAAAATCTAGACAGAAGCATTCTCAGAAAATACTTTGTGATGATTGAGTTTAAATCACAGAGCTGACCATTCCTTTGGATGGAGCAGGTTTGAGACACACTTTTTGTAGAATCTACAAGTGGATATTTGGACCTCTCTGAGGATTTCGTTGGAAACGGGATAACTGCACCTAACTAAACGGAAGCATTCTCAGAAACTGCTTTGTGATGATTGCATTCACCTCACAGAGTTGAACATTCCTATTGATAGAGCAGTTTGGAAACACTCTTGTTGTGGAATGTGCAAGTGGAGATTTGGAGCGCTTTGAGGCCTATGGTAGTAAAGGGAATAGCTTCATAGAAAAAATTGACAGATGCATTCTCAGGAACTTTTTGGTGATGTTTGTATTCAACTCCCAGAGTTGAACTTTCCTTTGGAAAGAGCAGCTATGAAACACTCTTTTTCTAGAATCTGCAAGTGGACGTTTGGAGGGCTTTGTGGTTTGTGGTGGAAAAGGAAATATCTTCACCTAAATACTAGATAGAAGCATTCTCAGAAGCTTCTCTGTGATGACTGCATTCAACTCACGGAGTTGAACACTCCTTTTGAGAGCGTAGTTTTGAAACTCTCTTTCTGTGGCATCTGCAAGGGGACATGTAGACCTCTTTGAAGATTTCGTTGGAAACGGAATCATCTTCACATAAAAACTATACAGAAGCAGTCTCAGAATCTTCTTTGTGATGTTTGCATTCAAATCCCAGAGTTGAACTTTCCTTTCCAAGTTCACGTTTGAAACACTCTTTTTGCAGGATCTACAAGTGGATATTTGGACCACTCTGTGTCCTTCGTTCGAAACGGGTATATCTTCACATGATATCTAGACAGAAGCTTTCTCAGAAAATTCTTTGGGATGATTGAGTTGAACTCACAGAGCTGAACATTCCTTGCGATGGAGCAGTTTAGAAACACACTTTCTGCAGAATCTGCAAGTGCATATTTGGACCTCTCTGAGGAATTCGTTGGAAACGGGATAATTTCAGCCGACTAAACAGAAGCATTCTCAGAACCTTCTTCGTGATGTCTGCATTCAACTCACAGTGTGGAACCTTTCTTTGATAGTTCAGGTTTGAAACACTCTTTCTGTAGAAACTGCAAGGGGATAATTGCACTCTTTGAGGAGTACCGTAGTAAAGGAAATAACTTCCTATAAAAAGAAGACAGAAGCATTCTCAGAACCCTCTTCGTGATGTTTGCATTCAACTCACAGTGCTGAACCTTTCTTTGATAGTTCAGCTTTGAAACACTCTTTTTGTAGAAACTGCAAGTGGATATTTGGTCCTCTCTGAGCATTTCGTTGGAAACGGGATAAACTGCACAGAACTAAACAGAAGCATTCTCAGAACCTTCTTCGTGATGTTTGCATTCAACTCACAGTGTTGAACCTTTCTTTGATAGTTCAGGTTTGAAACGGTCTTTCTGTAGAAACTGCAAGTAGATATTTGGACCTCTCTGAGGATTTCGTTGGAAACGGGATAACCCGCACAGAACTAAAACAGAAGCATTCACAGAAAACTCTTGGTGACGACTGAGTTTAACTCACAGAGCTGAACATTCCTTTGGATGGAGCAGTTTCGAAACACACTATTTGTAGAATGTGCAAGTGGATATTTGGGCCTCTCTGAGGATTTCGTTGGAAACGGGATAAACCGCACAGAACTAAACAGAAGCATTCTCAGAAACTACTTTGTGATGATTGCATTCAAGTCACAGAGTTGAACATTCCCTTTGACAGAGCAGTTTGGAAACTCTCTTTGTGTAGAATCTGCAAGTGGAGATATGGACCGCTTTGAGGCCTATGGTAGTAAAGGAAATAGCTTCATATAAAAGCTAGACAGTAGCATTCTCAGAAACTTCTTTGTGATGCTTGCATTCAACTCACAGAGTTGAACTTTCCTTTCGAGAGAGAAGCTTTGAAACACTCTTTTTCCAGAATCTGCAAGTGGACATTTGGAGGGCTTTGAGGCCTGTGGTGGAAAAGGAATTATCTTCCCGTAAAAGCTAGATAGAAGCATTGTCAGAAACTTCTTTGTGATGATTGCATTCAACTCACAGAGTTGAAGGTTCCTTTTCAAAGAGCAGTTTCCAATCACTCTTTCTGTGGAATCTGCAAGTGGATATTTGGACCTATTTTGAAGATTTCGTTGGAAACGGGAGAATCTTCACAGGAAAGCTAAACAGAAGCATTCTCAGAAACTTCTCTGTGATGTTTGTGTTCAACTCCCAGAGTTTCACATTGCTTTTCATAGAGTAGTTCTGAAACATGCTTTTCGTAGTGTCTACAAGTGGACATTTGGAGCGCTTTCAGGCCTGTGGTGGAAAACGAATTATGGTCACATAAAAACTGGAGAGAAGCCTTCTCAGAAACTTCTCTGTGATGATTGCATTCAACTCACAGAGTTGAACCCTCCTATGGATAGAGCAGTGTTGAAACTCTCTTTTTGTGGAATCTGCAAGTGGATATGTGGACCTCTCCGAAGATGTCTTTGGAAACGGGAATATCTTCACATAAAAACTAAACAGAAGCATTCTCAGAAACTTCTTGGTGATGTTTGCATTCAAATCCCAGAGTTGAACCTTCCTTTGATAGTTCAGGTTTGAAACACTCTTTTTGTAGGATCTGCAAGTGGATATTTGGACCACTCTGTGGCCTTCGTTCGAAACGGGTATATCTTCGCATAAAATCTAGACAGAAGCATTCTCAGAAAATACTTTGTGATGATTGAGTTAAAATCACAGAGCTGAACATTCCTTTGGATGGAGCAGGTTTGAGACACACTTTTTGTAGAATCTACAAGTGGATATTTGGACCTCTCTGAGGATTTCGTTGGAAACGGGATAACTGCACCTAACTAAACGGAAGCATTCTCAGAAACTGCTTTGTGATGATTGCATTCACCTCACAGAGTTGAACATTCCTATTGATAGAGCAGTTTGGAAACACTCTTGTTGTGGAATGTGCAAGTGGAGATTTGGAGCGCTTTGAGGTCTATGGTAGTAAAGGGAATAGCTTCATAGAAAAACTAGACAGATGCATTCTCAGGAACTTTTTGGTGATGTTTGTATTCAACTCCCAGAGTTGAACTTTCCTTTGGAAAGAGCAGCTATGAAACACTCTTTTTCTAGAATCTGCAAGTGGACGTTTGGAGGGCTTTGTGGTTTGTGGTGGAAAAGGAAATATCTTCACCTAAATACTAGATAGAAGCATTCTCAGAAGCTCCTCTGTGATGACTGCATTCAACTCACGGAGTTGAACACTCCTTTTGAGAGCGCAGTTTTGAAACTCTCTTTCTGTGGCATCTGCAAGGGGACATGTAGACCTCTTTGAAGATTTCGTTGGAAACGGAATCATCTTCACATAAAAACTATACAGAAGCAGTCTCAGAATCTTCTTTGTGATGTTTGCATTCAAATCCCAGAGTTGAACTTTCCTTTCAAAGTTCACGTTTGAAACACTCTTTTTGCAGGATCTACAAGTGGATATTTGGACCACTCTGTGTCCTTCGTTCGAAACGGGTATAACTTCACACGACATCTAGACAGAAGCTTTCTCAGAAAATTCTTTGGGATGATTGAGTGGAACTCACAGAGCTGAACATTCCTTGCGATGTAGCAGTTTAGAAACACACTTTCTGCAGAATCTGCAAGTGCATATTTGGACCTCTCTGAGGAATTCGTTGGAAACGGGATAATTTCAGCTGACTAAACAGAAGCATTCTCAGAACCTTCTTCGTGATGTCTGCATTCAACTCACAGTGTGGAACCTTTCTTTGATAGTTCAGGTTTGAAACACTCTTTTTGTAGAAACTGCAAGGGGATAATTGCACTTCTTTGAGGCCTACCGTAGTAAAGGAAATAACTTCCTATAGAAAGAAGACAGAAGAATTCTCAGAGCCCTCTTCGTGATGTTTGCATTCAACTCACAGTGCTGAACCTTTCTTTGATAGTGCAGCTTTGAAACACTCTTTTTGTAGAAACTGCAAGTGGATGTTTGGTCCTCTCTGAGGATTTCGTTGGAAACGGGATAAACCGCACAGAACTAAAACAGAAGCATTGTCAGAAACTTCTTTGTGATGATTGCATTCAACTCACAGAGTTGAAGGTTCCTTTTCAAACAGCAGTTTCCAATCACTCTTTCTGTGGAATCTGCAAGTGGATATTTGGGCCTCTCTGAGGATTTCGTTGGAAACGGGATAAAACGCACAGAACTAAAACAGAAGCATTCTCAGAAACTTCTCTGTGATGTTTGGTGTTCAACTCCCAGAGTTTCACGTTGCTTTTCATAGAGTAGTTCTGAAACATGCTTTTCGTAGTGTCTGCAAGTGGACATTTGGAGCGCTTTCAGGCCTGTGGTGGAAAACGAATTATGGTCACATAAAAACTGGAGAGAAGCCTTCTCAGAAACTTCTCTGTGATGATTGCATTCAACTCACAGAGTTGAACCCTCCTATGGATAGAGCAGTGTTGAAACTCTCTTTTTGTGGAATCTGCAAGTGGATATGTGGACCTCTCCGAAGATGTCTTTGGAAACGGGAATATCTTCACATAAAAACTAAACAGAAGCATTCTCAGAAACTTCTTGGTGATGTTTGCATTCAAATCCCAGAGTTGAATCTTCCTTTGATAGTTCAGGTTTGAAACACTCTTTTTGTAGGGTCTGCAAGTGGATATTTGGACCACTCTGTGGCCTTCGTTCGAAACGGGTACATCTTCGCATAAAATCTAGACAGAAGCATTCTCAGAAAATACTTTGTGATGATAGAGTTTAACTCACAGAGCTGAACATTCCTTTGGATGGAGCAGGTTTGAGACACACTTTTTGTAGAATCTACAAGTGGATATTTGGACCTCTCTGAGGATTTCGTTGGAAACGGGATAACTGCACCTAACTAAACGGAAGCATTCTCAGAAACTGCTTTGTGATGATTGCATTCACCTCACAGAGTTGAACATTCCTATTGATAGAGCAGTTTGGAAACACTCTTGTTGTGGAATGTGCAAGTGGAGATTTGGAGCGCTTTGAGGCCTATGGTAGTAAAGGGAATAGCTTCATAGAAAAACTAGACAGACGCATTCTCAGGAACTTTTTGGTGATGTTTGTATTCAACTCCCAGAGTTGAACTTTCTTTTGGAAAGAGCAGCTATGAAACACTCTTTTTCTAGAATCTGCAAGTGGACGTTTGGAGGGCTTTGTGGTTTGTGGTGGAAAAGGAAATATCTTCACCTAAATACTAGATAGAAGCATTCTCAGAAGCTTCTCTGTGATGACTGCATTCAGCTCACAGAGTTGAACACTCCTTTTGAGAGCGCAGTTTTGAAACTCTCTTTCTGTGGCATCTGCAAGGGGACATGTAGACCTCTTTGAAGATTTCGTTGGAAACGGAATCATCTTCACATAAAAACTATACAGAAGCAGTCTCAGAATCTTCTTTGTGATGTTTGCATTCAAATCCCAGAGTTGAACTTTCCTTTCAAAGTTCACGTTTGAAACACTCTTTTTGCAGGATCTACAAGTGGATATTTGGACCACTCTGTGTCCTTCGTTCGAAACGGGTATATCTTCACACGACATCTAGACAGAAGCTTTCTCAGAAAATTCTTTGGGATGATTGAGTGGAACTCACAGAGCTGAACATTCCTTGCGATGTAGCAGTTTAGAAACACACTTTCTGCAGAATCTGCAAGTGCATATTTGGACCTCTCTGAGGAATTCGTTGGAAACGGGATAATTTCAGCTGACTAAACAGAAGCATTCTCAGAACCTTCTTCGTGATGTCTGCATTCAACTCACAGTGTGGAACCTTTCTTTGATAGTTCAGGTTTGAAACACTCTTTTTGTAGAAACTGCAAGGGGATAATTGCACTCTTTGAGGAGTACCGTAGTAAAGGAAATAACTTCCTATAAAAAGAAGACAGAAGCATTCTCAGAACCCTCTTCGTGATGTTTGCATTCAACTCACAGTGCTGAACCTTTCTTTGATAGTTCAGCTTTGAAACACTCTTTTTGTAGAAACTGCAAGTGGATATTTGGTCCTCTCTGAGCATTTCGTTGGAAACGGGATAAACTGCACAGAACTAAACAGAAGCATTCTCAGAACCTTCTTCGTGATGTTTGCATTCAACTCACAGTGTTGAACCTTTCTTTGATAGTTCAGGTTTGAAACGGTCTTTCTGTAGAAACTGCAAGTAGATATTTGGACCTCTCTGAGGATTTCGTTGGAAACGGGATAAACCGCACAGAACTAAAACAGAAGCATTCACAGAAAACTCTTGGTGACGACTGAGTTTAACTCACAGAGCTGAACATTCCTTTGGATGGAGCAGTTTCGAAACACACTATTTGTAGAATGTGCAAGTGGATATTTGGGCCTCTCTGAGGATTTCGTTGGAAACGGGATAAACCGCACAGAACTAAACAGAAGCATTCTCAGAAACTACTTTGTGATGATTGCATTCAAGTCACAGAGTTGAACATTCCCTTTGACAGAGCAGTTTGGAAACTCTCTTTGCGTAGAATCTGCAAGTGGAGATATGGACCGCTTTGAGGCCTATGGTAGTAAAGGAAATAGCTTCATATAAAAGCTAGACAGCAGCATTCTCAGAAACTTCTTTGTGATGCTTGCATTCAACTCACAGAGTTGAACTTTCCTTTCGAGAGAGAAGCTTTGAAACACTCTTTTTCCAGAATCTGCAAGTGGACATTTGGAGGGCTTTGAGGCCTGTGGTGGAAAAGGAATTATCTTCCCGTAAAAGCTAGATAGAAGCATTGTCAGAAACTTCTTTGTGATGATTGCATTCAACTCACAGAGTTGAAGGTTCCTTTTCAAACAGCAGTTTCCAATCACTCTTTCTGTGGAATCTGCAAGTGGATATTTGGGCCTCTCTGAGGATTTCGTTGGAAACGGGATAAAACGCACAGAACTAAAACAGAAGCATTCTCAGAAACTTCTCTGTGATGTTTGTGTTCAACTCCCAGAGTTTCACGTTGCTTTTCATAGAGTAGTTCTGAAACATGCTTTTCGTAGTGTCTGCAAGTGGACATTTGGAGCGCTTTCAGGCCTGTGGTGGAAAACGAATTATGGTCACATAAAAACTGGAGAGAAGCCTTCTCAGAAACTTCTCTGTGATGATTGCATTCAACTCACAGAGTTGAACCCTCCTATGGATAGAGCAGTGTTGAAACTCTCTTTTTGTGGAATCTGCAAGCAAATATGTGGACCTTTCCGAAGATGTCTTTGGCAACGGGAATATCTTCACATAAAAACTAAACAGAAGCATTCTCAGAAACTTCTTCGTGATGTTTGCATTCAAATCCCAGAGTTGAACCTTCCTTTGAGAGTTCAGGTTTGAAACACTCTTTTTGTAGGATCTGCAAGTGGATATTTGGACCACTCTGTGGCCTTCGTTCGAAACGGGTACATCTTCGCATAAAATCTAGACAGAAAGCATTCTCAGAAAATACTTTGTGATGATTGAGTTGAACTCACAGAGCTGAACATTCCTTTGGATGGAGCAGGTTTGAGACACACTTTTTGTAGAATCTACAAGTGGATATTTGGACCTCTCTGAGGATTTCGTTGGAAACGGGATAACTGCACCTAACTAAACGGAAGCATTCTCAGAAACTGCTTTGTGATGATTGCATTCACCTCACAGAGTTGAACATTCCTATTGATAGAGCAGTTTGGAAACACTCTTGTTGTGGAATGTGCAAGTGGAGATTTGGAGCGCTTTGAGGCCTATGGTAGTAAAGGGAATAGCTTCATAGAAAAACTAGACAGATGCATTCTCAGGGACTTTTTGGTGATGTTTGTATTCAACTCCCAGAGTTGAACTTTCCTTTGGAAAGAGCAGCTATGAAACACTCTTTTTCTAGAATCTGCAAGTGGACGTTTGGAGGGCTTTGTGGTTTGTGGTGGAAAAGGAAATATCTTCACCTAAATACTAGATAGAAGCATTCTCAGAAGCTTCTCTGTGATGACTGCATTCAACTCACGGAGTTGAACACTCCTTTTGAGAGCGCAGTTTTGAAACTCTCTTTCTGTGTCATCTGCAAGGGGACATGTAGACCTCTTTGAAGATTTCGTTGGAAACGGAATCATCTTCACATAAAAACTATACAGAAGCAGTCTCAGAATCTTCTTTGTGATGTTTGCATTCAAATCCCAGAGTTGAACTTTCCTTTCAAAGTTCACGTTTGAAACACTCTTTTTGCAGGATCTACAAGTGGATATTTGGACCACTCTGTGTCCTTCGTTCGAAACGGGTATATCTTCACAGGACATCTAGACAGAAGCTTTCTCAGAAAATTCTTTGGGATGATTGAGTGGAACTCACAGAGCTGAACATTCCTTGCGATGTAGCAGTTTAGAAACACACTTTCTGCAGAATCTGCAAGTGCATATTTGGACCTCTCTGAGGAATTCGTTGGAAACGGGATAATTTCAGCTGACTAAACAGAAGCATTCTCAGAACCTTCTTCGTGATGTCTGCATTCAACTCACAGTGTGGAACCTTTCTTTGATAGTTCAGGTTTGAAACACTCTTTTTGTAGAAACTGCAAGGGGATAATTGCACTTCTTTGAGGCCTACCGTAGTAAAGGAAATAACTTCCTATAGAAAGAAGACAGAAGAATTCTCAGAGCCCTCTTCGTGATGTTTGCATTCAACTCACAGTGCTGAACCTTTCTTTGATAGTGCAGCTTTGAAACACTCTTTTTGTAGAAACTGCAAGTGGATATTTGGTCCTCTCTGAGGATTTCGTTGGAAACGGGATAAACCGCACAGAACTAAAACAGAAGCATTCACAGAAAACTCTTGGTGACGACTGAGTTTAACTCACAGAGCTGAACATTCCTTTGGATGGAGCAGTTTCGAAACACACTATTTGTAGAATCTGCAAGTGGATATTTGGGCCTCTCTGAGGATTTCGTTGGAAACGGGATAAAACGCACAGAACTAAAACAGAAGCATTCTCAGAAACTACTTTGTGATGATTGCATTCAAGTCACAGAGTTGAACATTCCCTTTGACAGAGCAGTTTGGAAACTCTCTTTGTGTAGAATCTGCAAGTGGAGATATGGACCGCTTTGAGGCCTATGGTAGTAAAGGAAATAGCTTCATATAAAAGCTAGACAGTAGCATTCTCAGAAACTTCTTTGTGATGCTTGCATTCAACTCACAGAGTTGAACTTTCCTTTCGAGAGAGAAGCTTTGAAACACTCTTTTTCCAGAATCTGCAAGTGGACATTTGGAGGGCTTTGAGGCCTGTGGTGGAAAAGGAATTATCTTCCCGTAAAAGCTGGATAGAAGCATTGTCAGAAACTTCTTTGTGATGATTGCATTCAACTCACAGAGTTGAAGGTTCCTTTTCAAACAGCAGTTTCCAAACACTCTTTCTGTGGAATCTGCAAGTGGATGTTTGGACCTCTTTGAAGATTTCGTTGGAAACGGGATAACCTTCACAGAAAAGCTAAACAGAAGCATTCTCAGAAACTTCTCTCTGATGTTTGTGTTCAACTCCCAGAGTTTCACATTGCTTTTCATAGAGTAGTTCTGAAACATGCTTTTCGTAGTGTCTGCAAGTGGTCATTTGGAGCACTTTCAGGCCTGAGGTGGAAAACGAATTATGGTCACATAAAAACTGGAGAGAAGCCTTCTCAGAAACTTCTCTGTGATGATTGCATTCAACTCACAGAGTTGAACCCTCCTATGGATAGAGCAGTGTTGAAACTCTCTTTTTGTGGAATCTGCAAGTGGATATGTGGACCTCTCCGAAGATGTCTTTGGAAACGGGAATATCTTCACATAAAAACTAAACAGAAGCATTCTCAGAAACTTCTTGGTGATGTTTGCATTCAAATCCCAGAGTTGAACCTTCCTTTGATAGTTCAGGTTTGAAACACTCTTTTTGTAGGATCTTCAAGTGGATATTTGGACCACTCTGTGGCCTTCGTTCGAAACGGGTACATCTTCGCATAAAATCTAGACAGAAGCATTCTCAGAAAATACTTTGTGATGATTGAGTTTAACTCACAGAGCTGAACATTCCTTTGGTTGGAGCAGGTTTGAGACACACTTTTTGTAGAATCTACAAGTGGATATTTCGACCTCTCTGAGGATTTCGTTGGAAACGGGATAACTGCACCGAACTAAACGGAAGCATTCTCAGAAACTGCTTTGTGATGATTGCATTCACCTCACAGAGTTGAACATTCCTATTGATAGAGCAGTTTGGAAACACTCTTGTTGTGGAATGTGCAAGTGGAGATTTGGAGCGCTTTGAGGCCTATGGTAGTAAAGGGAATAGCTTCATAGAAAAACTAGACAGATGCATTCTCAGGAACTTTTTGGTGACGTTTGTATTCAACTCCCAGAGTTGAACTTTCCTTTGGAAAGAGCAGCTATGAAACACTGTTTTTCTAGAATCTGCAAGTGGACGTTTGGAGGGCTTTGTGGTTTGTGGTGGAAAAGGAAATATCTTCACCTAAATACTAGATAGAAGCATCCTCAGAAGCTTCTCTGTGATGACTGCATTCAACTCACGGAGTTGAACACTCCTTTTGAGAGCGCAGTTTTGAAACTCTCTTTCTGTGGCATCTGCAAGGGGACATGTAGACCTCTTTGAAGATTTCGTTGGAAACGGAATCATCTTCACATAAAAACTATACAGAAGCAGTCTCAGAATCTTCTTTGTGATGTTTGCATTCAAATCCCCGAGTTGAACTTTCCTTTCAAAGTTCACGTTTGAAAAACTCTTTTTGCAGGATCTACAAGTGGATATTTGGACCACTCTGTGTCCTTCGTTCGAAACGGGTATATCTTCACATGACATCTAGACAGAAGCTTTCTCAGAAAATTCTTTGGGATGATTGAGTTGAACTCACAGAGCTGAGCATTCCTTGCGATGTAGCAGTTTAGAAACACACTTTCTGCAGAATCTGCAAGTGCATATTTGGACCTCTGTGAGGAATTCGTTGGAAACGGGATAATTTCAGCTGACTAAACAGAAGCATTCTCAGAACCTTCTTCGTGATGTCTGCATTCAACTCACAGTGTGGAACCTTTCTTTGATAGTTCAGGTTTGAAACACTCTTTTTGTAGAAACTGCAAGGGGATAATGGCACTTCTTTGAGGCCTACCGTAGTAAAGGAAATAACTTCCTATAGAAAGAAGACAGAAGCATTCTCAGAACCCTCTTCGTGATGTTTGCATTCAACTCACAGTGCTGAACCTTTCTTTGATAGTTCAGCTTTGAAACACTCTTCTTGTAGAAACTGCAAGTGGATATTTGGTCCTCTCTGAGGATTTCGTTGGAAACGGGATAAACCGCACAGAACTAAACAGAAGCATTCTCAGAGCCCTCTTCGAGATGTTTGCATTCAACTCACAGTGCTGAACCTTTCTTTGATAGTGCAGCTTTGAAACACTCTTTTTGTAGAAACTGCAAGTGGATGTTTGGTCCTCTCTGAGGATTTCGTTGGAAACGGGATAAACCGCACAGAACTAAAACAGAAGCATTCACAGAAAACTCTTGGTGACGACTGAGTTTAACTCACAGAGCTGAACATTCCTTTGGATGGAGCAGTTTCGAAACACACTATTTGTAGAATCTGCAAGTGGATATTGGGGCCTCTCTGAGGATTTCGTTGGAAACGGGATAAAACGCACAGAACTAAAACAGAAGCATTCTCAGAAACTACTTTGTGATGATTGCATTCAAGTCACAGAGTTGAACATTCCCTTTGACAGAGCAGTTTGGAAACTCTCTTTGTGTAGAATCTGCAAGTGGAGATATGGACCGCTTTGAGGCCTATGGTAGTAAAGGAAATAGCTTCATATAAAAGCTAGACAGTAGCATTCTCAGAAACTTCTTTGTGATGCTTGCATTCAACTCACAGAGTTGAACTTTCCTTTCGAGAGAGAAGCTTTGAAACACTCTTTTTCCAGAATGTGCAAGTGGACATTTGGGGAGCTTTGAGGCCTGTGGTGGAAAAGGAATTATCTTCCCGTAAAAGCTAGATAGAAGCATTGTCAGAAACTTCTTTGTGATGATTGCATTCAACTCACAGAGTTGAAGGTTCCTTTTCAAAGAGCAGTTTCCAATCACTCTTTCTGTGGAATCTGCAAGTGGATATTTGGACCTCTTTGAAGATTTCGTTGGAAACCGGAGAATCTTCACAGAAAAGCTAAACAGAAGCATTCTCAGAAACTTCACTGTGATGTTTGTGTTCAACTCCCAGAGTTTCACATTGCTTTTCATAGAGTAGTTCTGAAACATGCTTTTCGTAGTGTCTGCAAGTGGACATTTGGAGCGCTTTCAGGCCTGTGGTGGAAAACGAATTATGGTCACATAAAAACTGGAGAGAAGCCTTCTCAGAAACTTCTCTGTGATGATTGCATTCAACTCACAGAGTTGAACCCTCCTATGGATAGAGCAGTGTTGAAACTCTCTTTTTGTGGAATCTGCAAGTGGATATGTGGACCTCTCCGAAGATGTCTTTGGAAACGGGAATATCTTCACATAAAAACTAAACAGAAGCATTCTCAGAAACTTCTTGGTGATGTTTGCATTCAAATCCCAGAGTTGAACCTTCCTTTGACAGTTCAGGTTTGAAACACTCTTTTTGTAGGATCTGCAAGTGGCTATTTGGACCACTCTGTGGCCTTCGTTCGAAACGGGTATATCTTCGCATAAAATCTAGACAGAAGCATTCTCAGAAAATACTTTGTGATGATTGAGTTTAACTCACAGAGCTGAACATTCCTTTGGATGGAGCAGGTTTGAGACACACTTTTTGTAGAATCTACAAGTGGATATTTGGACCTCTACTGAGGATTTCGTTGGAAACGGGATAACTGCACCTAACTAAACGGAAGCATTCTCAGAAACTGCTTTGTGATGATTGCATTCACCTCACAGAGTTGACCATTCCTATTGATAGAGCAGTTTGGAAACACTCTTGTTGTGGAATGTGCAAGTGGAGATTTGGAGCGCTTTGAGGCCTATGGTAGTAAAGGGAATAGCTTCATAGAAAAACTAGACAGATGCATTCTCAGGAACTTTTTGGTGATGTTTGTATTCAACTCCCAGAGTTGAACTTTCCTTTGGAAAGAGCAGCTATGAAACACTCTTTTTCTAGAATCTGCAAGTGGACGTTTGGAGGGCTTTGTGGTTTGTGGTGGAAAAGGAAATATCTTCACCTAAATACTAGATAGAAGCATTCTCAGAAGCTTCTCTGTGATGACTGCATTCAACTCACGGAGTTGAACACTGCTTTTGAGAGCGCAGTTTTGAAACTCTCTTTCTGTGGCATCTGCAAGGGGACATGTAGACCTCTTTGAAGATTTCGTTGGAAACGGAATCATCTTCACATAGAAACTATACAGAAGCAGTCTCAGAATCTTCTTTGTGATGTTTGCATTCAAATCCCAGAGTTGAACTTTCCTTTCAAAGTTCACGTTTGAAACACTCTTTTTGCAGGATCTACAAGTGGATATTTGGACCACTCTGTGTCCTTCGTTCGAAACGGGTATATCTTCACATGACATCTAGACAGAAGCTTTCTCAGAAAATTCTTTGGGATGATTGAGTTGAACTCACAGATCTGAACATTCCTTGCGATGTAGCAGTTTAGAAACACACTTTCTGCAGAATCTGCAAGTGCATATGTGGACCTCTCTGAGGAATTCGTTGGAAACGGGATAATTTCAGCTGACTAAACAGAAGCATTCTCAGAACCTTCTTCGTGATGTCTGCATTCAACTCACAGTGTGGAACCTTTCTTTGATAGTTCAGGTTTGAAACACTCTTTTTGTAGAAACTGCAAGGGGATAATTGCACTTCTTTGAGGCCTACCGTAGTAAAGGAAATAACTTCCTATAGAAAGAAGACAGAAGCATTCTCAGAACCCTCTTCGTGATGTTTGCATTCAACTCACAGTGCTGAACCTTTCTTTGATAGTTCAGCTTTGAAACACTCTTTTTGTAGAAACTGCAAGTGGATATTTGGTCCTCTCTGAGGATTTCGTTGGAAACGGGATAAACTGCACAGAACTAAACAGAAGCATTCTCAGAACCTTCTTCGTGATGTTTGCATTCAACTCACAGTGTTGAACCTTTCTTTGATAGTTCAGGTTTGAAACGGTCTTTCTGTAGAAACTGCAAGTAGATATTTGGACCTCTCTGAGGATTTCGTTGGAAACGGGATAACCCGCACAGAACTAAAACAGAAGCATTCACAGAAAACTCTTGGTGACGACTGAGTTTAACTCACAGAGCTGAACATTCCTTTGGATGGAGCAGTTTCGAAACACACTATTTGTAGAATGTGCAAGTGGATATTTGGGCCTCTCTGAGGATTTCGTTGGAAACGGGATAAACCGCACAGAACTAAACAGAAGCATTCTCAGAAACTACTTTGTGATGATTGCATTCAAGTCACAGAGTTGAACATTCCCTTTGACAGAGCAGTTTGGAAACTCTCTTTCTGTAGAATCTGCAAGTGGAGATATGGACCGCTTTGAGGCCTATGGTAGTAAAGGAAATAGCTTCATATAAAAGCTAGACAGTAGCATTCTCAGAAACTTCTTTGTGATGCTTGCATTCAACTCACAGAGTTGAACTTTCCTTTCGAGAGAGAAGCTTTGAAACACTCTTTTTCCAGAATCTGCAAGTGGACATTTGGAGGGCTTTGAGGCCTGTGGTGGAAAAGGAATTATCTTCCCGTAAAAGCTAGATGGAAGCATTGTCAGAAACTTCTTTGTGATGATTGCATTCAACTCACAGAGTTGAAGGTTCCTTTTCAAAGAGCAGTTTCCAATCACTCTTTGTGTGGAATCTGCAAGTGGATATTTGGACCTATTTTGAAGATTTCGTTGGAAACGGGAGAATCTTCACAGGAAAGCTAAACAGAAGCATTCTCAGAAACTTCTCTGTGATGTTTGTGTTCAACTCCCAGAGTTTCACATTGCTTTTCATAGAGTAGTTCTGAAACATGCTTTTCGTAGTGTCTACAAGTGGACATTTGGAGCGCTTTCAGGCCTGTGGTGGAAAACGAATTATGGTCACATAAAAACTGGAGAGAAGCCTTCTCAGAAACTTCTCTGTGATGATTGCATTCAACTCACAGAGTTGAACCCTCCTATGGATAGAGCAGTGTTGAAACTCTCTTTTTGTGGAATCTGCAAGTGGATATGTGGACCTCTCCGAAGATGTCTTTGGAAACGGGAATATCTTCACATAAAAACTAAACAGAAGCATTCTCAGAAACTTCTTGGTGATGTTTGCATTCAAATCCCAGAGTTGAACCTTCCTTTGATAGTTCAGGTTTGAAACACTCTTTTTGTAGGATCTGCAAGTGGATATTTGGACCACTCTGTGGCCTTCGTTCGAAACGGGTATATCTTCGCATAAAATCTAGACAGAAGCATTCTCAGAAAATACTTCGTGATGATTGAGTTTAACTCACAGAGCTGAACATTCCTTTGGATGGAGCAGGTTTGAGACACACTTTTTGTAGAATCTACAAGTGGATATTTGGACCTCTCTGAGGATTTCGTTGGAAACGGGATAACTGCACCTAACTAAACGGAAGCATTCTCAGAAACTGCTTTGTGATGATTGCATTCACCTCACAGAGTTGAACATTCCTATTGATAGAGCAGTTTGGAAACACTCTTGTTGTGGAATGTGCAAGTGGAGATTTGGAGCGCTTTGAGGCCTGTGGTAGTAAAGGGAATAGCTTCATAGAAAAACTAGACAGATGCATTCTCAGGAACTTTTTGGTGATGTTTGTATTCAACTCCCAGAGTTGAACTTTCCTTTGGAAAGAGCAGCTATGAAACACTCTTTTTCTAGAATCTGCAAGTGGACGTTTGGAGGGCTTTGTGGTTTGTGGTGGAAAAGGAAATATCTTCACCTAAATACTAGACAGAAGCATTCTCAGAAGCTTCTCTGTGATGACTGCATTCAACTCACGGAGTTGAACACTCCTTTTGAGAGCGCAGTTTTGAAACTCTCTTTCTGTGGCATCTGCAAGGGGACATGTAGACCTCTTTGAAGATTTCGTTGGAAACGGAATCATCTTCACATAAAAACTATACAGAAGCAGTCTCAGAATCTTCTTTGTGATGTTTGCATTCAAATCCCAGAGTTGAACTTTCCTTTCAAAGTTCACGTTTGAAACACTCTTTTTGCAGGATCTACAAGTGGATATTTGGACCACTCTGTGTCCTTCGTTCGAAACGGGTATATCTTCACATGACATCTAGACAGAAGCTTTCTCAGAAAATTCTTTGGGATGATTGAGTTGAACTCACAGAGCTGAGCATTCCTTGCGATGTAGCAGTTTAGAAACACACTTTCTGCAGAATCTGCAAGTGCATATTTGGACCTCTGTGAGGAATTCGTTGGAAACGGGATAATTTCAGCTGACTAAACAGAAGCATTCTCAGAACCTTCTTCGTGATGTCTGCATTCAACTCACAGTGTGGAACCTTTCTTTGATAGTTCAGGTTTGAAACACTCTTTTTGTAGAAACTGCAAGGGTATAACTGCACTTCTTTGAGGCCTACCGTAGTAAAGGAAATAACTTCCTATAAAAAGAAGACAGAAGCATTCTCAGAACCCTCTTCGTGATGTTTGCATTAAACTCACAGTGCTGAACGTTTCTTTGATACTTCAGCTTTGAAACACTCTTTTTGTAGAAACTGCAAGTGGATATTTGGTCCTCTCTGAGGATTTCTTTGGAAACGGGATAAACCGCACAGAACTAAACAGAAACATTCTCAGAACCCTCTTCGTGATGTTTGCATTCAATTCACGGTGCTGAACCTTTCTTTGATAGTTCAGCTTTGAAACACTCTTTTTGTAGAAACTGCAAGTGGATATTTGGTCCTCTCTGAGGATTTCGTTGGAAACGGGATAAACCGCACAGAACTAAAACAGAAGCATTCTCAGAACCTTCTTCGTGATGTTTGCATTCAACTCACAGTGTTGAACCTTTCTTTGATAGTTCAGGTTTGAAACGGTCTTTCTGTAGAAACTGCAAGTAGATATTTGGACCTCTCTGAGGATTTCGTTGGAAACGGGATAAACCGCACAGAACTAAAACAGAAGCATTCACAGAAAACTCTTGGTGACGACTGAGTTTAACTCACAGAGCTGAACATCCCTTTGGATGGAGCAGTTTCGAAACACACTATTTGTAGAATGTGCAAGTGGATATTGGGGCCTCTCTGAGGATTTCGTTGGAAACGGGATAAACCGCACAGAATTAAACAGAAGCATTCTCAGAAATTACTTTGGATGATTGCATTCAAGTCACAGAGTTGAACATTCCCTTTGACAGAGCAGTTTGGAAACTCTCTTTGTGTAGAATCTGCAAGTGGAGATATGGACCGCTTTGAGGCCTATGGTAGTAAAGGAAATAGCTTCATATAAAAGCTAGACAGTAGCATTCTCAGAAACTTCTTTGTGATGCTTGCATTCAACTCACAGAGTTGAACTTTTCTTTCGAGAGAGAAGCTTTGAAACACTCTTTTTCCAGAATCTGCAAGTGGACATTTGGAGGGCTTTGAGGCGTGTGGTGGCAAAGGAATTATCTTCCCGTAAAAGCTAGATAGAAGCATTGTCAGAAACTTCTTTGTGATGATTGCGTTCAACTCACAGAGTTGAAGGTTCCTTTTCAAACAGCAGTTTCCAACCACTCTTTCTGTGGAATCCGCAAGTGGATATTTGGACCTCTTTGAAGATTTCTTTGGAAACGGGAGAATGTTCACAGAAAAGCTAAACAGAAGCATTCTCAGAAACTTCTCTGTGATGTTTGTGTTCAACTCCCAGAGTTTCACGTTGCTTTTCATAGAGTAGTTCTGAAACATGCTTTTCGTAGTGTCTGCAAGTGGACATTTGGAGCGCTTTCAGGCCTGTGGTGGAAAACGAATTATGGTCACATAAAAACTGGAGAGAAGCCTTCTCAGAAACTTCTCTGTGATGATTGCATTCAACTCACAGAGTTGAACCCTCCTATGGATAGAGCAGTGTTGAAACTCTCTTTTTGTGGAATCTGCAAGTGGATATGTGGACCTCTCCGAAGATGTCTTTGGAAACGGGAATATCTTCACATAAAAACTAAACAGAAGCATTCTCAGAAACTTCTTGGTGATGTTTGCATTCAAATCCCAGAGTTGAACCTTCCTTTGATAGTTCAGGTTTGAAACACTCTTTTTGTAGGATCTGCAAGTGGCTATTTGGACCACTCTGTGGCCTTCGTTCTTAACGGGTATATCTTCGCATAAAATCTAGACAGAAGCATTCTCAGAAAATACTTTGTGATGATTGAGTTTAAATCACAGAGCTGACCATTCCTTTGGATGGAGCAGGTTTGAGACACACTTTTTGTAGAATCTACAAGTGGATATTTGGACCTCTCTGAGGATTTCGTTGGAAACGGGATAACTGCACCTAACTAAACGGAAGCATTCTCAGAAACTGCTTTGTGATGATTGCATTCACCTCACAGAGTTGAACATTCCTATTGATAGAGCAGTTTGGAAACACTCTTGTTGTGGAATGTGCAAGTGGAGATTTGGAGCGCTTTGAGGCCTATGGTAGTAAAGGGAATAGCTTCATAGAAAAACTTAGACAGATGCATTCTCAGGAACTTTTTGGTGATGTTTGTATTCAACTCCCAGAGTTGAACTTTCCTTTGGAAAGAGCAGCTATGAAACACTCTTTTTCTAGAATCTGCAAGTGGACGTTTGGAGGGCTTTGTGGTTTGTGGTGGAAAAGGAAATATCTTCACCTAAATACTAGATAGAAGCTTTCTCAGAAGCTTCTCTGTGATGACTGCATTCAACTCACGGAGTTGAACACTCCTTTTGAGAGCGCAGTTTTGAAACTCCCTTTCTGTGGCATCTGCAAGGGGACATGTAGACCTCTTTGAAGATTTCGTTGGAAACGGAATCATCTTCACATAAAAACTATACAGAAGTAGTCTCAGAATCTTCTTTGTGATGTTTGCATTCAAATCCCAGAGTTGAACTTTCCTTTCAAAGTTCACGTTTGAAACACTCTTTTTGCAGGATCTACAAGTGGATATTTGGACCACTCTGTGTCCTTCGTTCGAAACGGGTATATCTTCACACGACATCTAGACAGAAGCTTTCTCAGAAAATTCTTTGGGATGATTGAGTTGAACTCACAGAGCTGAACATTCCTTGCGATGTAGCAGTTTAGAAACACACTTTCTGCAGAATCTGCAAGTGCATATTTGGACCTCTCAGAGTAATTCGTTGGAAACGGGATAATTTCAGCTGACTAAACAGAAGCATTCTCAGAACCTTCTTCGTGATGTCTGCATTCAACTCACAGTGTGGAACCTTTCTTTGATAGTTCAGGTTTGAAACACTCTTTTTGTAGAAACTGCAAGGGGATAATTACACTTCTTTGAGGCCTACCGTAGTAAAGGAAATAACTTCCTATAAAAAGAAGACAGAAGCATTCTCAGAACCCTCTTCGTGATGTTTGCATTCAACTCACAGTGCTGAACCTTTCTTTGATAGTTCAGCTTTGAAACACTCTTCTTGTAGAAACTGCAAGTGGATATTTGGTCCTCTCTGAGGATTTCGTTGGAAACGGGATAAACCGCACAGAACTAAACAGAAGCATTCTC
Organism: Homo sapiens; assembly: GCF_000001405.40. Taxonomy (NCBI): domain Eukaryota; kingdom Metazoa; phylum Chordata; class Mammalia; order Primates; family Hominidae; genus Homo; species Homo sapiens. The sequence continues at coordinate 25,895,238 of NC_000017.11, forward strand.
AGAACCTTCTTCGTGATGTTTGCATTCAACTCACAGTGTTGAACCTTTCTTTGATAGTTCAGGTTTGAAACGGTCTTTCTGAAGAAACTGCAAGTAGATATTTGGACCTCTCTGAGGATTTCGTTGGAAACGGGATAAACCGCACAGAACTAAAACAGAAGCATTCACAGAAAACTCTTGGTGACGACTGAGTTTAACTCACAGAGCTGAACATTCCTTTGGATGGAGCAGTTTCGAAACACACTATTTGTAGAATGTGCAAGTGGATATTGGGGCCTCTCTGAGGATTTCGTTGGAAACGGGATAAACCGCAGAGAACTAAACAGAAGCATTCTCAGAAACTACTTTGTGATGATTGCATTCAAGTCACAGAGTTGAACATTCCCTTTGACAGAGCAGTTTGGAAACTCTCTTTGTGTAGAATCTGCAAGTGGAGATATGGACCGCTTTGAGGCCTATGGTAGTAAAGGAAATAGCTTCATATAAAAGCTAGACAGTAGCATTCTCAGAAACTTCTTTGTGATGCTTGCATTCAACTCACAGAGTTGAACTTTCCTTTCGAGAGAGAAGCTTTGAAACACTCTTTTTCCAGAATGTGCAAGTGGACATTTGGGGAGCTTTGAGGCCTGTGGAGGGAAAGGAATTATCTTCCCGTAAAAGCTAGATAGAAGCATTGTCAGAAACTTCTTTGTGATGATTGCATTCAACTCACAGAGTTGAAGGTTCCTTTTCAAACAGCAGTTTCCAATCACTCTTTCTGTGGAATCTGCAAGTGGATATTTCGACCTCTTTGAAGATTTCGTTGGAAACGGGAGAATCTTCACAGAAAAGCTAAACAGAAGCATTCTCAGAAACTTCTCTGTGATGTTTGTGTTCAACTCCCAGAGTTTCACGTTGCTTTTCATAGAGTAGTTCTGAAACATGCTTTTCGTAGTGTCTGCAAGTGGACATTTGGAGCGCTTTCAGGCCTGTGGTGGAAAACGAATTATGGTCACATAAAAACTGGAGAGAAGCCTTCTCAGAAACTTCTCTGTGATGATTGCATTCAACTCACAGAGTTGAACCCTCCTATGGATAGAGCAGTGTTGAAACTCTCTTTTTGTGGAATCTGCAAGTGGATATGTGGACCTCTCCGAAGATGTCTTTGGAAACGGGAATATCTTCACATAAAAACTAAACAGAAGCATTCTCAGAAACTTCTTGGTGATGTTTGCATTCAAATCCCAGAGTTGAACCTTCCTTTGATAGTTCAGGTTTGAAACACTCTTTTTGTAGGATCTGCAAGTGGATATTTGGACCACTCTGTGGCCTTCGTTCGAAACGATTACATCTTCGCATAAAATCTAGACAGAAGCATTCTCAGAAAATACTTTGTGATGATTGAGTTGAACTCACAGAGCTGAACATTCCTTTGGATGGAGCAGGTTTGAGACACACTTTTTGTAGAATCTACAAGTGGATATTTGGACCTCTCTGAGGATTTCGTTGGAAACGGGATAACTGCACCTAAATAAACGGAAGCATTCTCAGAAACTGCTTTGTGATGATTGCATTCACCTCACAGAGTTGAACATTCCTATTGATAGAGCAGTTTGGAAACACTCTTGTTGTGGAATGTGCAAGTGGAGATTTGGAGCGCTTTGAGGCCTATGGTAGTAAAGGGAATAGCTTCATAGAAAAACTAGACAGATGCATTCTCAGGTAACTTTTTGGTGATGTTTGTATTCAACTCCCAGAGTTGAACTTTCCTTTGGAAAGAGCAGCTATGAAACACTCTTTTTCTAGAATCTGCAAGTGGACGTTTGGAGGGCTTTGTGGTTTGTGGTGGAAAAGGAAATATCTTCACCTAAATACTAGATAGAAGCATTCTCAGAAGCTTCTCTGTGATGACTGCATTCAACTCACGGAGTTGAACACTCCTTTTGAGAGCGCAGTTTTGAAACTCTCTTTCTGTGGCATCTGCAAGGGGACATGTAGACCTCTTTGAAGATTTCGTTGGAAACGGAATCATCTTCACATAAAAACTATACAGAAGCAGTCTGAGAATCTTCTTTGTGATGTTTGCATTCAAATCCCAGAGTTGAACTTTCCTTTCAAAGTTCACGTTTGAAACACTCTTTTTGCAGGATCTACAAGTGGATATTTGGACCACTCTGTGTCCTTCGTTCGAAACGGGTATATCTTCACATGACATCTAGACAGAAGCTTTCTCAGGAAAATTCTTTGGGATGATTGAGTGGAACTCACAGTGCTGAACATTCCTTGCGATGTAGCAGTTTAGAAACACACTTTCTGCAGAATCTGCAAGTGCATATTTGGACCTCTCTGAGGAATTCGTTGGAAACGGGATAATTTCAGCTGACTAAACAGAAACATTCTCAGAACCTTCTTCGTGATGTCTGCATTCAACTCACAGTGTGGAACCTTTCTTTGATAGTTCAGGTTTGAAACACTCTTTTTGTAGAAACTTCAAGGGGATAATTGCACTTCTTTGAGGCCTACCGTAGTAAAGGAAATAACTTCCTATAGAAAGAAGACAGAAGAATTCTCAGAGCCCTCTTCGTGATGTTTGCATTCAACTCACAGTGCTGAACCTTTCTTTGATAGTGCAGCTTTGAAACACTCTTTTTGTAGAAACTGCAAGTGGATGTTTGGTCCTCTCTGAGGATTTCGTTGGAAACGGGATAAACCGCACAGAACTAAAACAGAAGCATTGTCAGAAACTTCTTTGTGATGATTGCATTCAACTCACAGAGTTGAAGGTTCCTTTTCAAACAGCACTTTCCAATCACTCTTTTTGTGGAATCTGCAAGTGGATATTTGGGCCTCTCTGAGGATTTCGTTGGAAACGGGATAAACCGCACAGAACTAAAACAGAAGCATTCTCAGAAACTTCTCTGTGATGTTTGTGTTCAACTCCCAGAGTTTCACGTTGCTTTTCATAGAGTAGTTCTGAAACATGCTTTTCGTAGTGTCTGCAAGTGGACATTTGGAGCGCTTTCAGGCCTGTGGTGGAAAACGAATTATGGTCACATAAAAACTGGAGAGAAGCCTTCTCAGAAACTTCTCTGTGATGATTGCATTCAACTCACAGAGTTGAACCCTCCTATGGATAGAGCAGTGTTGAAACTCTCTTTTTGTGGAATCTGCAAGTGGATATGTGGACCTCTCCGAAGATGTCTTTGGAAACGGGAATATCTTCACATAAAAACTAAACAGAAGCATTCTCAGAAACTTCTTGGTGATGTTTGCATTCAAATCCCAGAGTTGAAACTTCCTTTGATAGGTCAGATTTGAAACACTCTTTCTGTACGATCTGCAAGTGGATATTTGGACCACTCTGTGGCCTTCGTTCGAAACGGGTACATCTTCGCATAAAATCTAGACAGAAGCATTCTCAGAAAATTCTTTGTGATGATTGAGTTTAACTCACAGAGCTGAACATTCCTTTGGATGGACCACGTTTGAGACACACTTTTTGTAGAATCTACAAGTGGATATTTAGACCTCTCTGAGGATTTCGTTGGAAACGGTATAACTGCACCTAACTAAACGGAAGCATTCTCAGAAACTGCTTTGTGATGATTGCATTCACCTCACAGAGTTGAACATTCCTATTGATAGAGCAGTTTGGAAACACTCTTCATGTGGAATGTGCAAGTGGAGATTTGGAGCGCTTTGAGGCCTATGGTAGTAAAGGGAATAGCTTCATAGAAAAACTAGACAGATGCATTCTCAGGAACTTTTTGGTGATGTTTGTATTCAACTCCCAGAGTTGAACTTTCCTTTGGAAAGAGCAGCTATGAAACACTCTTTTTCTAGAATCTGCAAGTGGACGTTTGGAGGGCTTTGTGGTTTGTGGTGGAAAAGGAAATATCTTCACCTAAATACTAGATAGAAGCATTCTCAGAAGCTTCTCTGTGATGACTGCATTCAACTCACGGAGTTGAACACTCCTTTTGAGAGCGCAGTTTTGAAAATCTCTTTCTGTGGCATCTGCAAGGGGACATGTAGACCTCTTTGAAGATTTCGTTGGAAACGGAATCATCTTCACATAAAAACTATACAGAAGCAGTCTCAGAATCTTCTTTGTGATGTTTGCATTCAAATCCCAGAGTTGAACTTTCCTTTCAAAGTTCACGTTTGAAACACTCTTTTTGCAGGATCTACAAGTGGATATTTGGACCAATCAGTGTCCTTCGTTCGAAACGGGTATATCTTCACATGACATCTAGATAGAAGCTTTCTCAGAAAATTCTTTGGGATGATTGAGTTGAACTCACAGAGCTGAACATTCCCTGTGATGTTGCAGTTTAGAAACACACTTTCTGCAGAATCTGCAAGTGCATATTTGGACCTCTCTGAGGAATTCGTTGGAAACGGGATAATTTCAGCTGACTAAACAGAAGCATTCTCAGAACCTTCTTCGTGATGTCTGCATTCAACTCACAGTGTGGAACCTTTCTTTGATAGTTCAGGTTTGAAACACTCTTTTTGTAGAAACTGCAAGGGGATAATTGCACTTCTTTGAGGCCTACCGTAGTAAAGGAAATAACTTCCTATAAAAAGAAGACAGAAGCATTCTCAGAACCCTCTTCGTGATGTTTGCATTCAACTCACAGTGCTGAACCTTTCTTTGATAGTTCAGCTTTGAAACACTCTTTTTGTAGAAACTGCAGGTGGATATTTGGTCCTCTCTGAGGATTTCGTTGGAAACGGGATAAACCGCACAGAACTAAACAGAAGCATTCTCAGAACCTTCTTCGTGATGTTTGCATTCAACTCACAGTGTTGAACCTTTCTTTGATAGTTCAGGTTTGAAACGGTCTTTCTGTAGAAACTGCAAGTAGATATTTGGAGCTCTCTGAGGATTTCGTTGGAAACGGGATAAACCGCACAGAACTAAAACAGAAGCATTCACAGAAAACTCTTGGAGACGACTGAGTTTAACTCACAGAGCTGAACATTCCTTTGGATGGAGCAGTTTCGAAACACACTATTTGTAGAATGTGCAAGTGGATATGTGGGCCTCTCTGAGGATTTCGTTGGAAACGGGATAAACCGCACAGAACTAAACAGAAGCATTCTCAGAAACTACTTTGTGATGATTGCATTCAAGTCACAGAGTTGAACATTCCCTTTGACAGAGCAGTTTGGAAACTCTCTTTGTGTAGAATCTGCAAGTGGAGATATGGACCGCTTTGAGGCCTATGGTAGTAAAGGAAATAGCTTCATATAAAAGCTAGACAGTAGCATTCTCAGAAACTTCTTTGTGATGCTTGCATTCAACTCACAGAGTTGAACTTTCCTTTCGAGAGAGAAGCTTTGAAACACTCTTTTTCCAGAATCTGCAAGTGGACATTTGGAGGGCTTTGAGGCCTGTGGTGGAAAAGGAATTATCTTCCCGTAAAAGCTAGATAGAAGCATTGTCAGAAACTTCTTTGTGATGATTGCATTCAACTCACAGAGTTGAAGGTTCCTTTTCAAACAGCAGTTTCCAATCACTCTTTCTGTGGAATCTGCAAGTGGATATTTGGGCCTCTCTGAGGATTTCGTTGGAAACGGGATAAAACGCACAGAACTAAAACAGAAGCATTCTCAGAAACTTCTCTGTGATGTTTGTGTTCAACTCCCAGAGTTTCACATTGCTTTTCATAGAGTAGTTCTGAAACATGCTTTTCGTAGTGTCTGCAAGTGGACATTTGGAGCGCTTTCAGGCCTGTGGTGGAAAACGAATTATGGTCCCATAAAAACTGGAGAGAAGCCTTCTCAGAAACTTCTCTGTGATGATTGCATTTCAACTCACAGAGTTGAACCCTCCTATGGATAGAGCAGTGTTGAAACTCTCTTTTTGTGGAATCTGCAAGTGGCTATGTGGACCTCTCCGAAGATGTCTTTGGAAACGGGAATATCTTCACATAAAAACTAAACAGAAGCATTCTCAGAAACTTCTTGGGGATGTTTGCATTCAAATCCCAGAGTTGAACCTTCCTTTGATAGTTCAGGTTTGAAACACTCTTTTTGTAGGATCTGCAAGTGGCTATTTGGACCACTCTTTGGCCTTCGTTCGAAACTGGTATATCTTCGCATAAAATCTAGACAGAAGCATTCTCAGAAAATACTTTGTGATGATTGAGTTAAAATCACAGAGCTGAACATTCCTTTGGATGGAGCAGGTTTGAGACACACTTTTTGTAGAATCTACAAGTGGATATTTGGACCTCTCTGAGGATTTCGTTGGAAACGGGATAACTGCACCTAACTAAACGGAAGCATTCTCAGAAACTGCTTTGTGATGATTGCATTCACCTCACAGAGTTGAACATTCCTATTGATAGAGCAGTTTGGAAACACTCTTGTTGTGGAATGTGCAAGTGGAGATTTGGAGCGCTTTGAGGCCTATGGTAGTAAAGGGAATAGCTTCATAGAAAAACTAGACAGATGCATTCTCAGGAACTTTTTGGTGATGTTTGTGTTCAACTCCCAGAGTTGAACTTTCCTTTGGAAAGAGCAGCTATGAAACACTCTTTTTCTAGAATCTGCAAGTGGACGTTTGGAGGGCTTTGTGGTTTGTGGTGGAAAAGGAAATATCTTCACCTAAATACTAGATAGAAGCATTCTCAGAAGCTTCTCTGTGATGACTGCATTCAACTCACGGAGTTGAACACTCCTTTTGAGAGCGCAGTTTTGAAACTCTCTTTCTGTGGCATCTGCAAGGGGACATGTAGACCTCTTGGAAGATTTCGTTGGAAACGGAATCATCTTCACATCAAAACTATACAGAAGTAGTCTCAGAATCTTCTTTGTGATGTTTGCATTCAAATCCCAGAGTTGAACTTTCCTTTCAAAGTTCACGTTTGAAACACTCTTTTTGCAGGATCTACAAGTGGATATTTGGACCACTCTGTGTCCTTCGTTCGAAACGGGTATATCTTCACACGACATCTAGGCAGAAGCTTTCTCAGAAAATTCTTTGGGATGATTGAGTGGAACTCACAGAGCTGAACATTCCTTGCGATGTAGCAGTTTAGAAACACACTTTCTGCAGAATCTGCAAGTGCATATTTGGACCTCTCTGAGGAATTCGTTGGAAACGGGATAATTTCAGCTGACTAAACAGAAGCATTCTCAGAACCTTCTTCGTGATGTCTGCATTCAACTCACAGTGTGGAACCTTTCTTTGATAGTTCAGGTTTGAAACACTCTTTTTGTAGAAACTGCAAGGGGATAATTGCACTCTTTGAGGAGTACCGTAGTAAAGGAAATAACTTCCTATAAAAAGAAGACAGAAGCATTCTCAGAACCCTCTTCGTGATGTTTGCATTCAACTCACAGTGCTGAACCTTTCTTTGATAGTTCAGCTTTGAAACACTCTTTTTGTAGAAACTGCAAGTGGATATTTGGTCCTCTCTGAGGATTTCGTTGGAAACGGGATAAACTGCACAGAACTAAACAGAAGCATTCTCAGAACCTTCTTCGTGATGTTTGCATTCAACTCACAGTGTTGAACCTTTCTTTGATAGTTCAGGTTTGAAACGGTCTTTCTGTAGAAACTGCAAGTAGATATTTGGACCTCTCTGAGGATTTCGTTGGAAACGGGATAACCCGCACAGAACTAAAACAGAAGCATTCACAGAAAACTCTTGGTGACGACTGAGTTTAACTCACAGAGCTGAACATTCCTTTGGATGGAGCAGTTTCGAAACACACTATTTGTAGAATGTGCAAGTGGATATTTAGGCCTCTCTGAGGATTTCGTTGGAAACGGGATAAACCGCACAGAACTAAACAGAAGCATTCTCAGAAACTACTTTGTGATGATTGCATTCAAGTCACAGAGTTGAACATTCCCTTTGACAGAGCAGTTTGGAAACTCTCTTTGTGTAGAATCTCCAAGTGGAGATATGGACCGCTTTGAGGCCTATGGTAGTAAAGGAAATAGCTTCATATAAAAGCTAGACAGTAGCATTCTCAGAAACTTCTTTGTGATGCTTGCATTCAACTCACAGAGTTGAACTTTCCTTTCGAGAGAGAAGCTTTGAAACACTCTTTTTCCAGAATCTGCAAGTGGACATTTGGAGGGCTTTGAGGCCTGTGGTGGAAAAGGAATTAACTTCCCGTAAAAGCTAGATAGAAGCATTGTCAGAAACTTCTTTGTGATGATTGCATTCAACTCACAGAGTTGAAGGTTCCTTTTCAAACAGCAGTTTCCAATCACTCTTTCTGTGGAATCTGCAAGTGGATATTTGGACCTCTTTGAAGATTTCGTTGGAAACGGGAGAATCTTCACAGAAAAGCTAAACAGAAGCATTCTCAGAAACTTCTCTGTGATGTTTGTGTTCAACTCCCAGAGTTTCACGTTGCTTTTCATAGAGTAGTTCTGAAACATGCTTTTCGTAGTGTCTGCAAGTGGACATTTGGAGCGCTTTCAGGCCTGTGGTGGAAAACGAATTATGGTCACATAAAAACTGGAGAGAAGCCTTCTCAGAAACTTCTCTGTGATGATTGCATTCAACTCACAGAGTTGAACCCTCCTATGGATAGAGCAGTGTTGAAACTCTCTTTTTGTGGAATCTGCAAGTGGATATGTGGACCTCTCCGAAGATGTCTTTGGAAACGGGAATATCTTCACATAAAAACTAAACAGAAGCATTCTCAGTAAACTTCTTGGTGATGTTTGCATTCAAATCCCAGAGTTGAACCTTCCTTTGAGAGTTCAGGTTTGAAACACTCTTTTTGTAGGATCTGCAAGTGGATATTTGGACCACTCTGTGGCCTTCGTTCGAAACGGGTACATCTTCGCATAAAATCTAGACAGAAGCATTCTCAGAAAATACTTTGTGATGATTGAGTTTAAATCACAGAGCTGACCATTCCTTTGGATGGAGCAGGTTTGAGACACACTTTTTGTAGAATCTACAAGTGGATATTTGGACCCTCTCTGAGGATTTCGTTGGAAACGGGATAACTGCACCTAACTAAACGGAAGCATTCTCAGAAACTGCTTTGTGATGATTGCATTCACCTCACAGAGTTGAACATTCCTATTGATAGAGCAGTTTGGAAACACTCTTGTTGTGGAATGTGCAAGTGGAGATTTGGAGCGCTTTGAGGCCTATGGTAGTAAAGGGAATAGCTTCATAGAAAAACTAGACAGATGCATTCTCAGGAACTTTTTGGTGATGTTTGTATTCAACTCCCAGAGTTGAACTTTCCTTTGGAAAGAGCAGCTATGAAACACTCTTTTTCTAGAATCTGCAAGTGGACGTTTGGAGGGCTTTGTGGTTTGTGGTGGAAAAGGAAATATCTTCACCTAAATACTAGATAGAAGCATTCTCAGAAGCTTCTCTGTGATGACTGCATTCAACTCACGGAGTTGAACACTCCTTTTGAGAGCGCAGTTTTGAAACTCTCTTTCTGTGGCATCTGCAAGGGGACATGTTGACCTCTTTGAAGATTTCGTTGGAAACGGAATCATCTTCACATAAAAACTATACAGAAGCAGTCTCAGAATCTTCTTTGTGATGTTTGCATTCAAATCCCAGAGTTGAACTTTCCTTTCAAAGTTCACGTTTGAAACACTCTTTTTGCAGGATCTACAAGTGGATATTTGGACCACTCTGTGTCCTTCGTTCGAAACGGGTATATCTTCACACGACATCTAGACAGAAGCTTTCTCAGAAAATTCTTTGGGATGATTGAGTTGAACTCACAGAGCTGAGCATTCCTTGCGATGTAGCAGTTTAGAAACACACTTTCTGCAGAATCTGCAAGTGCATATTTGGACCTCTGTGAGGAATTCGTTGGAAACGGGATAATTTCAGCTGACTAAACAGAAGCATTCTCAGAACCTTCTTCGTGATGTCTGCATTCAACTCACAGTGTGGAACCTTTCTTTGATAGTTCAGGTTTGAAACACTCTTTTTGTGGAAACTGCAAGGGGATAATTGCACTTCTTTGAGGCCTACCGTAGTAAAGGAAATAACTTCCTATAAAAAGAAGACAGAAGCATTCTCAGAACCCTCTTCGTGATGTTTGCATTCAACTCACAGTGCTGAACCTTTCTTTGATAGTTCAGCTTTGAAACACTCTTCTTGTAGAAACTGCAAGTGGATATTTGGTCCTCTCTGAGGATTTCGTTGGAAACGGGATAAACCGCACAGAACTAAACAGAAGAATTCTCAGAGCCCTTTTCGTGATGTTTGCATTCAACTCACAGTGCTGAACCTTTCTTTGATAGTGCAGCTTTGAAACACTCTTTTTGTAGAAACTGCAAGTGGATATTTGGTCCTCTCTGAGGATTTCGTTGGAAACGGGATAAACCGCACAGAACTAAAACAGAAGTATTCTCTAAACCTTCTTCGTGATGTTTGCATTCAACTCACAGTGTTGAACCTTTCTTTGATAGTTCAGGTTTGAAACGGTCTTTCTGTGGAAACTGCAAGTAGATATTTTGACCTCTCTGAGGATTTCGTTGGAAACAGGATAAACCGCACAGAACTAAAACAGAAGCATTCACAGAAAACTCTTGGTGACGACTGAGTTTAACTCACAGAGCTGGACATTCCTTTGGATGGAGCAGTTTCGAAACACACTATTTGTAGAATGTGCAAGTGGATATTTGGGCCTCTCTGAGGATTTCGTTGGAAACGGGATAAATGGCAAAGAAATAAACAGAAGCATTCTCAGAAACTACTTTGTGATGATTGCATTCAAGTCACAGAGTTGAACATTCCCTTTGACAGAGAAGTTTGGAAACTCTCTTTGTGTAGAATCTGCAAGTGGAGATATGGACCGCTTTGAGGCCTATGGTAGTAAAGGAAATAGCTTCATATAAAAGCTAGACAGTAGCATTCTCAGAAACTTCTTTGTGATGCTTGCATTCAACTCACAGAGTTGAACTTTCCTTTCGAGAGAGAAGCTTTGAAACACTCTTTTTCCAGAATCTGCAAGTGGACATTTGGAGGGCTTTGAGGTCTGTGGTGGAAAAGGAATTATCTTCCCGTAAAAGCTAGATAGAAGCATTGTCAGAAACTTCTTTGTGATGATTGCATTCAAGTCACAGAGTTGAAGGTTCCTTTTCAAAGAGCAGTTTCCAATCACTCTTTCTGTGGAATCTGCAAGTGGATATTTGGACCTCTTTGAAGATTTCGTTGGAAACGGGAGAATCTTCACAGAAAAGCTAAACAGAAGCATTCTCAGAAACTTCTCTGTGATGTTTGTGTTCAACTCCCAGAGATTCACATTGCTTCTCATAGAGTAGTTCTGAAACATGCTTTTCGTAGTGTCTGCAAGTGGACATTTGCAGCGCTTTCAGGCCTGTGGTGGAAAACGAATTATGGTCACATAAAAACTGGAGAGAAGCCTTCTCAGAAACTTCTCTGTGATGATTGCATTCAACTCACAGAGTTGAACCCTCCTATGGATAGAGCAGTGTTGAAACTCTCTTTTTGTGGAACCTGCAAGTGGATATGTGGACCTCTCCGAAGATGTCTTTGGAAACGGGAATATCTTCACATAAAAACTAAACAGAAGCATTCTCAGAAACTTCTTGGTGATGTTTGCATTCAAATCCCAGAGTTGAACCTTCCTTTGATAGTTCAGGTTTGAAACACTCTTTCTGTAGGATCTGCAAGTGGCTATTTGGACCACTCTGTGGCCTTCGTTCGAAACGGGTATATCTTCGCATAAAATCTAGACAGAAAGCATTCTCAGAAAATACTTTGTGATGATTGAGTTTAAATCACAGAGCTGACCATTCCTTTGGATGGAGCAGGTTTGAGACACACTTTTTGTAGAATCTACAAGTGGATATTTGGACCTCTCTGAGGATTTCGTTGGAAACGGGATAACTGCACCTAACTAAACGGAGCATTCTCAGAAACTGCTTTGTGATGATTGCATTCACCTCACAGAGTTGAACATTCCTATTGATAGAGCAGTTTGGAAACACTCTTGTTGTGGAATGTGCAAGTGGAGATTTGGAGCGCTTTGAGGCCTGTGGAAGTAAAGGGAATAGCTTCATAGAAAAACTAGACAGATGCATTCTCAGGAACTTTTTGGTGATGTTTGTATTCAACTCCCAGAGTTGAACTTTCCTTTGGAAAGAGCAGCTATGAAACACTCTTTTTCTAGAATCTGCAAGTGGACGTTTGGAGGGCTTTGTGGTTTGTGGTGGAAAAGGAAATATCTTCACCTAAATACTAGATAGAAGCATTCTCAGAAGCTTCTCTGTGATGACTGCATTCAACTCACGGAGTTGAACACTCCTTTTGAGAGCGCAGTTTTGAAACTCTCTTTCTGTGGCATCTGCAAGGGGACATGTAGACCTCTTTGAAGATTTCGTTGGAAACGGAATCATCTTCACATAAAAACTATACAGAAGCAGTCTCAGAATCTTCTTTGTGATGTTTGCATTCAAATCCCAGAGTTGAACTTTCCTTTCAAAGTTCACGTTTGAAACACTCTTTTTGCAGGATCTACAAGTGGATATTTGGACCACTCTGTGTCCTTCGTTCGAAACGGGTATATCTTCACACGACATCTAGACAGAAGCTTTCTCAGAAAATTCTTTGGGATGATTGAGTGGAACTCACAGAGCTGAACATTCCTTGCGATGTAGCAGTTTAGAAACACACTTTCTGCAGAATCTGCAAGTGCATATTTGGACCTCTCTGAGGAATTCGTTGGAAACGGGATAATTTCAGCTGACTAAACAGAAGCATTCTCAGAACCTTCTTCGTGATGTCTGCATTCAACTCACAGTGTGGAACCTTTCTTTGATAGTTCAGGTTTGAAACACTCTTTTTGTAGAAACTGCAAGGGGATAATTGCACTCTTTGAGGAGTACCGTAGTAAAGGAAATAACTTCCTATAAAAAGAAGACAGAAGCATTCTCAGAACCCTCTTCGTGATGTTTGCATTCAACTCACAGTGCTGAACCTTTCTTTGATAGTTCAGCTTTGAAACACTCTTTTTGTAGAAACTGCAAGTGGATATTTGGTCCTCTCTGAGGATTTCGTTGGAAACGGGATAAACTGCACAGAACTAAACAGAAGCATTCTCAGAACCTTCTTCGTGATGTTTGCATTCAACTCACAGTGTTGAACCTTTCTTTGATAGTTCAGGTTTGAAACGGTCTTTCTGTAGAAACTGCAAGTAGATATTTGGACCTCTCTGAGGATTTCGTTGGAAACGGGATAACCCGCACAGAACTAAAACAGAAGCATTCACAGAAAACTCTTGGTGACGACTGAGTTTAACTCACAGAGCTGAACATTCCTTTGGATGGAGCAGTTTCGAAACACACTATTTGTAGAATCTGCAAGTGGATATTTGGGCCTCTCTGAGGATTTCGTTGGAAACGGGATAAAACGCACAGAACTAAAACAGAAGCATTCTCAGAAACTACTTTGTGATTATTGCATTCAAGTCACAGAGTTGAACATTCCCTTTGACAGAGCAGTTTGGAAACTCTCTTTGTGTAGAATCTGCAAGTGGAGATATGGACCGCTTTGAGGCCTATGGTAGTAAAGGAAATAGCTTCATATAAAAGCTAGACAGTAGCATTCTCAGAAACTTCTTTGTGATGCTTGCATTCAACTCACAGAGTTGAACTTTCCTTTCGAGAGAGAAGCTTTGAAACACTCTTTTTCCAGAATGTGCAAGTGGACATTTGGGGAGCTTTGAGGCCTGTGGAGGAAAAGGAATTATCTTCCCGTAAAAGCTAGATAGAAGCATTGTCAGAAACTTCTTTGTGATGATTGCATTCAACTCACAGAGTTGAAGGTTCCTTTTCAAAGAGCAGTTTCCAATCACTCTTTCTGTGGAATCTGCAAGTGGATATTTGGACCTATTTTGAAGATTTCGTTGGAAACGGGAGAATCTTCACAGGAAAGCTAAACAGAAGCATTCTCAGAAACTTCTCTGTGATGTTTGTGTTCAACTCCCAGAGTTTCACATTGCTTTTCATAGAGTAGTTCTGAAACATGCTTTTCGTAGTGTCTACAAGTGGACATTTGGAGCGCTTTCAGGCCTGTGGTGGAAAACGAATTATGGTCACATAAAAACTGGAGAGAAGCCTTCTCAGAAACTTCTCTGTGATGATTGCATTCAACTCACAGAGTTGAACCCTCCTATGGATAGAGCAGTGTTGAAACTCTCTTTTTGTGGAATCTGCAAGTGGATATGTGGACCTCTCCGAAGATGTCTTTGGAAACGGGAATATCTTCACATAAAAACTAAACAGAAGCATTCTCAGAAACTTCTTGGTGATGTTTGCATTCAAATCCCAGAGTTGAACCTTCCTTTGATAGTTCAGGTTTGAAACACTCTTTTTGTAGGATCTGCAAGTGGATATTTGGACCACTCTGTGGCCTTCGTTCGAAACGGGTATATCTTCGCATAAAATCCAGACAGAAGCATTCTCAGAAAATACTTTGTGATGATTGAGTTTAACTCACAGAGCTGAACATTCCTTTGGATGGAGCAGGTTTGAGACACACTTTTTGTAGAATCTACAAGTGGATATTTGGACCTCTCTGAGGATTTCGTTGGAAACGCGATAACTGCACCTAACTAAACGGAAGCATTCTCAGAAACTGCTTTGTGATGATTGCATTCACCTCACAGAGTTGAACATTCCTATTGATAGAGCAGTTTGGAAACACTCTTGTTGTGGAATGTGCAAGTGGAGATTTGGAGCGCTTTGAGGCCTATGGTAGTAAAGGGAATAGCTTCATAGAAAAACTAGACAGATGCATTCTCAGGAAACTTTTTGGTGATGTTTGTATTCAACTCCCAGAGTTGAACTTTCCTTTGGAAAGAGCAGCTATGAAACACTGTTTTTCTAGAATCTGCAAGTGGACGTTTGGAGGGCTTTGTGGTTTGTGGTGGAAAAGGAAATATCTTCACCTAAATACTAGATAGAAGCATCCTCAGAAGCTTCTCTGTGATGACTGCATTCAACTCACGGAGTTGAACACTCCTTTTGAGAGCGCAGTTTTGAAACTCTCTTTCTGTGGCATCTGCAAGGGGACATGTAGACCTCTTTGAAGATTTCGTTGGAAACGGAATCATCTTCACATAAAAACTATACAGAAGCAGTCTCAGAATCTTCTTTGTGATGTTTGCATTCAAATCCCCGAGTTGAACTTTCCTTTCAAAGTTCACGTTTGAAACACTCTTTTTGCAGGATCTACAAGTGGATATTTGGACCACTCTGTGTACGTCGTTCGAAACGGGTATATCTTCACATGACATCTAGACAGAAGCTTTCTCAGAAAATTCTTTGGGATGATTGAGTTGAACTCACAGAGCTGAGCATTCCTTGCGATGTAGCAGTTTAGAAACACACTTTCTGCAGAATCTGCAAGTGCATATTTGGACCTCTGTGAGGAATTCGTTGGAAACGGGATAATTTCAGCTGACTAAACAGAAGCATTCTCAGAACCTTCTTCGTGATGTCTGCATTCAACTCACAGTGTGGAACCTTTCTTTGATAGTTCAGGTTTGAAACACTCTTTTTGTAGAAACTGCAAGGGGATAATTGCACTTCTTTGAGGCCTACCGTAGTAAAGGAAATAACTTCCTATAGAAAGAAGACAGAAGAATTCTCAGAGCCCTCTTCGTGGTGTTTGCATTCAACTCACAGTGCTGAACCTTTCTTTGATAGTGCAGCTTTGAAACACTCTTTTTGTAGAAACTGCAAGTGGATATTTGGTCCTCTCTGAGGATTTCGTTGGAAACGGGATAAACCGCACAGAACTAAAACAGAAGCATTCACAGAAAACTCTTGGTGACGACTGAGTTTAACTCACAGAGCTGAACATTCCGTTGGATGGAGCAGTTTCGAAACACACTATTTGTAGAATCTGCAAGTGGATATTTGGGCCTCTCTGAGGATTTCGTTGGAAACGGGATAAAACGCACAGAACTAAAACAGAAGCATTCTCAGAAACTACTTTGTGATGATTGCATTCAAGTCACAGAGTTGAACATTCCCTTTGACAGAGCAGTTTGGAAACTCTCTTTGTGTAGAATCTGCAAGTGGAGATATGGACCGCTTTGAGGCCTATGGTAGTAAAGGAAATAGCTTCATATAAAAGCTAGACAGTAGCATTCTCAGAAACTTCTTTGTGATGCTTGCATTCAACTCACAGAGTTGAACTTTCCTTTCGAGAGAGAAGCTTTGAAACACTCTTTTTCCAGAATCTGCAAGTGGACATTTGGAGGGCTTTGAGGCCTGTGGTGGAAAAGGAATTATCTTCCCGTAAAAGCTAGATAGAAGCATTGTCAGAAACTTCTTTGTGATGATTGCATTCAACTCACAGAGTTGAAGGTTCCTTTTCAAAGAGCAGTTTCCAATCACTCTTTCTGTGGAATCTGCAAGTGGATATTTGGACCTATTTTGAAGATTTCGTTGGAAACGGGAGAATCTTCACAGGAAAGCTAAACAGAAGCATTCTCAGAAACTTCTCTGTGATGTTTGTGTTCAACTCCCAGAGTTTCACATTGCTTTTCATAGAGTAGTTCTGAAACATGCTTTTCGTAGTGTCTACAAGTGGACATTTGGAGCGCTTTCAGGCCTGTGGTGGAAAACGAATTATGGTCACATAAAAACTGGAGAGAAAGCCTTCTCAGAAACTTCTCTGTGATGATTGCATTCAACTCACAGAGTTGAACCCTCCTATGGATAGAGCAGTGTTGAAACTCTCTTTTTGTGGAATCTGCAAGTGGATATGTGGACCTCTCCGAAGATGTCTTTGGAAACGGGAATATCTTCACATAAAAACTAAACAGAGCATTCTCAGAAACTTCTTGGTGATGTTTGCATTCAAATCCCAGAGTTGAACCTTCCTTTGATAGTTCAGGTTTGAAACACTCTTTCTGTAGGATCTGCAAGTGGCTATTTGGACCACTCTGTGGCCTTCGTTCGAAACGGGTATATCTTCGCATAAAATCTAGACAGAAGCATTCTCAGAAAATACTTTGTGATGATTGAGTTTAACTCACAGAGCTGAACATTCCTTTGGATGGAGCAGGTTTGAGACACACCTTTTGTAGAATCTACAAGTGGATATTTGGACCTCTCTGAGGATTTCGTTGGAAACGGGATAACTGCACCTAACTAAACGGAAAGCATTCTCAGAAACTGCTTTGTGATGATTGCATTCACCTCACAGAGTTGAACATTCCTATTGATAGAGCAGTTTGGAAACACTCTTGTTGTGGAATGTGCAAGTGGAGATTTGGAGCGCTTTGAGGCCTATGGTAGTAAAGGGAATAGCTTCATAGAAAAACTAGACAGTGCATTCTCAGGAACTTTTTGGTGATGTTTGTATTCAACTCCCAGAGTTGAACTTTCCTTTGGAAAGAGCAGCTATGAAACACTCTTTTTCTAGAATCTGCAAGTGGACGTTTGGAGGGCTTTGTGGTTTGTGGTGGAAAAGGAAATATCTTCACCTAAATACTAGATAGAAGCATCCTCAGAAGCTTCTCTGTGATGACTGCATTCAACTCACGGAGTTGAACACTCCTTTTGAGAGCGCAGTTTTGAAACTCTCTTTCTGTGGCATCTGCAAGGGGACATGTAGACCTCTTTGAAGATTTCGTTGGAAACGGAATCATCTTCACATAAAAACTATACAGAAGCAGTCTCAGAATCTTCTTTGTGATGTTTGCATTCAAATCCCAGAGTTGAACTTTCCTTTCAAAGTTCACGTTTGAAACACTCTTTTTGCAGGATCTACAAGTGGATATTTGCACCACTCTGTATCCTTCGTTCGAAACGGGTATATCTTCACATGACATCTAGACAGAAGCTTTCTCAGAAAATTCTTTGGGATGATTGAGTTGAACTCACAGAGCTGAGCATTCCTTGCGATGTAGCAGTTTAGAAACACACTTTCTGCAGAATCTGCAAGTGCATATGTGGACCTCTCTGAGGAATTCGTTGGAAACGGGATAATTTCAGCTGACTAAACAGAAGCATTCTCAGAACCTTCTTCGTGATGTCTGCATTCAACTCACAGTGTGGAACCTTTCTTTGATAGTTCAGGTTTGAAACACTCTTTTTGTAGAAACTGCAAGGGGATAATTGCACTTCTTTGAGGCCTACCGTAGTAAAGGAAATAACTTCCTATAAAAAGAAGACAGAAGAATTCTCAGAGCCCTCTTCGTGATGTTTGCATTCAACTCACAGTGCTGAACCTTTCTTTGATAGTGCAGCTTTGAAACACTCTTTTTGTAGAAACTGCAAGTGGATGTTTGGTCCTCTCTGAGGATTTCGTTGGAAACGGGATAAACCGCACAGAACTAAAACAGAAGCATTGTCAGAAACTTCTTTGTGATGATTGCATTCAACTCACAGAGTTGAAGGTTCCTTTTCAAACAGCAGTTTCCAATCACTCTTTCTGTGGAATCTGCAAGTGGATATTTGGGCCTCTCTGAGGATTTCGTTGGAAACGGGATAAAACGCACAGAACTAAAACAGAAGCATTCTCAGAAACTTCTCTGTGATGTTTGTGTTCAACTCCCAGAGTTTCACGTTGCTTTTCATAGAGTAGTTCTGAAACATGCTTTTCGTAGTGTCTGCAAGTGGACATTTGGAGCGCTTTCAGGCCTGTGGTGGAAAACGAATTATGGTCACATAAAAACTGGAGAGAAGCCTTCTCAGAAACTTCTCTGTGATGATTGCATTCAACTCACAGAGTTGAACCCTCCTATGGATAGAGCAGTGTTGAAACTCTCTTTTTGTGGAATCTGCAAGTGGATATGTGGACCTCTCCGAAGATGTCTTTGGAAACGGGACTATCTTCACATAAAAACTAAACAGAAGCATTCTCAGAAACTTCTTGGTGATGTTTGCATTCAAATCCCAGAGTTGAACCTTCCTTTGATAGTTCAGGTTTGAAACACTCTTTTTGTAGGATCTGCAAGTGGATATTTGGACCACTCTGTGGCCTTCGTTCGAAACGGGTACATCTTCGCATAAAATCTAGACAGAAGCATTCTCAGAAAATACTTTGTGATGATTGAGTTGAACTCACAGAGCTGAACATTCCTTTGGATGGAGCAGGCTTGAGACACACTTTTTGTAGAATCTACAAGTGGATATTTGGACCTCTCTGAGGATTTCGTTGGAAACGGGATAACTGCACCTAACTAAAAGGAAGCATTCTCAGAAACTGCTTTGTGATGATTGCATTCACCTCACAGAGTTGAACATTCCTATTGATAGAGCAGTTTGGAAACACTCCTGTTGTGGAATGTGCAAGTGGAGATTTGGAGCGCTTTGAGGCCTATGGTAGTAAAGGGAATAGCTTCATAGAAAAACTAGACAGATGCATTCTCAGGAACTTTTTGGTGATGTTTGTATTCAACTCCCAGAGTTGAACTTTCCTTTGGAAAGAGCAGCTATGAAACACTCTTTTTCTAGAATCTGCAAGTGGACGTTTGGAGGGCTTTGTGGTTTGTGGTGGAAAAGGAAATATCTTCACCTAAATACTAGATAGAAGCATTCTCAGAAGCTTCTCTGTGATGACTGCATTCAACTCACGGAGTTGAACACTCCTTTTGAGAGCGCAGTTTTGAAACTCCCTTTCTGTGGCATCTGCAAGGGGACATGTAGACCTCTTTGAAGATTTCGTTGGAAACGGAATCATCTTCACATAAAAACTATACAGAAGCAGTCTCAGAATCTTCTTTGTGATGTTTGCATTCAAATCCCAGAGTTGAACTTTCCTTTCAAAGTTCACGTTTGAAACACTCTTTTTGCAGGATCTACAAGTGGATATTTGGACCACTCTGTGTCCTTCGTTCGAAACGGGTATAACTTCACACGACATCTAGACAGAAGCTTTCTCAGAAAATTCTTTGGGATGATTGAGTGGAACTCACAGAGCTGAACATTCCTTGCGATGGAGCAGTTTAGAAACACACTTTCTGCAGAATCTGCAAGTGCATATTTGGACCTCTCTGAGGAATTCGTTGGAAACGGGATAATTTCAGCTGACTAAACAGAAGCATTCTCAGAACCTTCTTCGTGATGTCTGCATTCAACTCACAAGTGTGGAACCTTTCTTTGATAGTTCAGGTTTGAAACACTCTTTTTGTAGAAACTGCAAGGGGATAATTGCACTTCTTTGAGGCCTACCGTAGTAAAGGAAATAACTTCCTATAGAAAGAAGACAGAAGCATTCTCAGAACCCTCTTCGTGATGTTTGCATTCAACTCACAGTGCTGAACCTTTCTTTGATAGTTCAGCTTTGAAACACTCTTCTTGTAGAAACTGCAAGTGGATATTTGGTCCTCTCTGAGGATTTCGTTGGAAACGGGATAAACCGCACAGAACTAAACAGAAGAATTCTCAGAGCCCTCTTCGTGATGTTTGCATTCAACTCACAGTGCTGAACCTTTCTTTGATAGTGCAGCTTTGAAACACTCTTTTTGTAGAAACTGCAAGTGGATGTTTGGTCCTCTCTGAGGATTTCGTTGGAAACGGGATAAACCGCACAGAACTAAAACAGAAGCATTGTCAGAAACTTCTTTGTGATGATTGCATTCAACTCACAGAGTTGAAGGTTCCTTTTCAAACAGCAGTTTCCAATCACTCTTTCTGTGGAATCTGCAAGTGGATATTTGGGCCTCTCTGAGGATTTCGTTGGAAACGGGATAAAACGCACAGAACTAAAACAGAAGCATTCTCAGAAACTTCTCTGTGATGTTTGTGTTCAACTCCCAGAGTTTCACGTTGCTTTTCATAGAGTAGTTCTGAAACATGCTTTTCGTAGTGTCTGCAAGTGGACATTTGGATCGCTTTCAGGCCTGTGGTGGAAAACGAATTATGGTCACATAAAAACTGGAGAGAAGCATTCTCAGAAAATACTTTGTGATGATTGAGTTTAAATCACAGAGCTGACCATTCCTTTGGATGGAGCAGGTTTGAGACACACTTTTTGTAGAATCTACAAGTGGATATTTGGACCTCTCTGAGGATTTCGTTGGAAACGGGATAACTGCACCTAACTAAACGGAAGCATTCTCAGAAACTGCTTTGTGATGATTGCATTCACCTCACAGAGTTGAACATTCCTATTGATAGAGCAGTTTGGAAACACTCTTGTTGTGGAATGTGCAAGTGGAGATTTGGAGCGCTTTGAGGCCTGTGGAAGTAAAGGGAATAGCTTCATAGAAAAACTAGACAGATGCATTCTCAGGAACTTTTTGGTGATGTTTGTATTCAACTCCCAGAGTTGAACTTTCCTTTGGAAAGAGCAGCTATGAAACACTCTTTTTCTAGAATCTGCAAGTGGACGTTTGGAGGGCTTTGTGGTTTGTGGTGGAAAAGGAAATATCTTCACCTAAATACTAGATAGAAGCATTCTCAGAAGCTTCTCTGTGATGACTGCATTCAACTCACGGAGTTGAACACTCCTTTTGAGAGCGCAGTTTTGAAACTCTCTTTCTGTGGCATCTGCAAGGGGACATATAGACCTCTTTGAAGATTTCGTTGGAAACGGAATCATCTTCACATAAAAACTATACAGAAGCAGTCTCAGAATCTTCTTTGTGATGTTTGCATTCAAATCCCAGAGTTGAACTTTCCTTTCAAAGTTCACGTTTGAAACACTCTTTTTGCAGGATCTACAAGTGGATATTTGGACCACTCTGTGTCCTTCGTTCGAAACGGGTATATCTTCACATGACATCTAGACAGAAGCTTTCTCAGAAAATTCTTTGGGATGATTGAGTGGAACTCACAGAGCTGAACATTCTTGCGATGTAGCAGTTTAGAAACACACTTTCTGCAGAATCTGCAAGTGCATATTTGGACCTCTCTGAGGAATTCGTTGGAAACGGGATAATTTCAGCTGACTAAACAGAAGCATTCTCAGAACCTTCTTCGTGATGTCTGCATTCAACTCACAGTGTGGAACCTTTCTTTGATAGTTCAGGTTTGAAACACTCTTTTTGTAGAAACTGCAAGGGGATAATTGCACTTCTTTGAGGCCTACCGTAGTAAAGGAAATAACTTCCTATAGAAAGAAGACAGAAGAATTCTCAGAGCCCTCTTCGTGATGTTTGCATTCAACTCACAGTGCTGAACCTTTCTTTGATAGTGCAGCTTTGAAACACTCTTTTTGTAGAAACTGCAAGTGGATGTTTGGTCCTCTCTGAGGATTTCGTTGGAAACGGGATAAACCGCACAGAACTAAAACAGAAGCATTCACAGAAAACTCTTGGTGACGACTGAGTTTAACTCACAGAGCTGAACATTCCTTTGGATGGAGCAGTTTCGAAACACACTATTTGTAGAATCTGCAAGTGGATATTTGGGCCTCTCTGAGGATTTCGTTGGAAACGGGATAAACCGCACAGAACTAAAACAGAAGCATTCTCAGAAACTACTTTGTGATGATTGCATTCAAGTCACAGAGTTGAACATTCCCTTTGACAGAGCAGTTTGGAAACTCTCTTTGTGTAGAATCTGCAAGTGGAGATATGGACCGCTTTGAGGCCTATGGTAGTAAAGGAAATAGCTTCATATAAAAGCTAGACAGTAGCATTCTCAGAAACTTCTTTGTGATGCTTGCATTCAACTCACAGAGTTG
The DNA here is from genome assembly GCF_000001405.40 of Homo sapiens. Classification (NCBI taxonomy): domain Eukaryota; kingdom Metazoa; phylum Chordata; class Mammalia; order Primates; family Hominidae; genus Homo; species Homo sapiens. Next base: position 25,917,851 of record NC_000017.11, read on the forward strand.
AACTTTCCTTTCGAGAGAGAAGCTTTGAAACACCCTTTTTCCAGAATCTGCAAGTGGACATTTGGAGGGCTTTGAGGCCTGTGGTGGAAAAGGAATTATCTTCCCGTAAAAGCTAGATAGAAGCATTGTCAGAAACTTCTTTGTGATGATTGCATTCAACTCACAGAGTTGAAGGTTCCTTTTCAAACAGCAGTTTCCAATCACTCTTTCTGTGGAATCTGCAAGTGGATATTTGGGCCTCTCTGAGGATTTCGTTGGAAACGGGATAAAACGCACAGAACTAAAACAGAAGCATTCTCAGAAACTTCTCTGTGATGTTTGTGTTCAACTCCCAGAGTTTCACGTTGCTTTTCATAGAGTAGTTCTGAAACATGCTTTTCGTAGTGTCTGCAAGTGGACATTTGGAGCGCTTTCAGGCCTGTGGTGGAAAACGAATTATGGTCACATAAAAACTGGAGAGAAGCCTTCTCAGAAACTTCTCTGTGATGATTGCATTCAACTCACAGAGTTGAACCCTCCTATGGATAGAGCAGTGTTGAAACTCTCTTTTTGTGGAATCTGCAAGTGGATATGTGGACCTCTCCGAAGATGTCTTTGGAAACGGGAATATCTTCACATAAAAACTAAACAGAAGCATTCTCAGAAACTTCTTGGTGATGTTTGCATTCAAATCCCAGAGTTGAACCTTCCTTTGATAGTTCAGGTTTGAAACACTCTTTTTGTAGGATCTGCAAGTGGCTATTTGGACAACTCTGTGGCCTTCGTTCGAAACGGGTATATCTTCGCATAAAATCTAGACAGAAGCATTCTCAGAAAATACTTTGTGATGATTGAGTTTAAATCACAGAGCTGAACATTCCTTTGGATGGAGCAGGTTTGAGACACACTTTTTGTAGAATCTACAAGTGGATATTTGGACCTCTCTGAGGATTTCGTTGGAAACGGGATATCTGCACCTAACTAAACGGAAGCATTCTCAGAAACTGCTTTGTGATGATTGCATTCACCTCACAGAGTTGAACATTCCTATTGATAGAGCAGTTTGGAAACACTCTTGTTGTGGAATGTGCAAGTGGAGATTTGGAGCGCTTTGAGGCCTATGGTAGTAAAGGGAATAGCTTCATAGAAAAACTAGACAGATGCATTCTCAGGAACTTTTTGGTGATGTTTGTATTCAACTCCCAAGAGTTGAACTTTCCTTTGGAAAGAGCAGCTATGAAACACTCTTTTTCTAGAATCTGCAAGTGGACGTTTGGAGGGCTTTGTGGTTTGTGGTGGAAAAGGAAATATCTTCACCTAAATACTAGATAGATCTGTTTAGTTCTGTGCGGTTTATCCCGTTTCCAACGAAATCCTCATAGAGGACCAAATATCCACTTGCAGTTTCTACAAAAAGAGTGTTTCAAAGCTGTACTATCAAAGAAAGGTTCAGGAGGAGGAGCCAAGATGGCCGAATAGGAACAGCTCCGGTCTACAGCTCCCAGCGTGAGCGACGCAGAAGACGGGTGATTTCTGCATTTCCATCTGAGGTACCGGGTTCATCTCACTAGGGAGTGCCAGACAGTGGGCTCAGGCCAGTGTGTGTGCGCACCGTGCGCGAGCCGAAGCAGAGCGAGGCATTGCCTCACCTGGGAAGCGCAAGGGGTCAGGGAGTTCCCTTTCCGAGTCAAAGAAAGGGTTGACGGACGCACGTGGAAAATCGGGTCACTCCCACCCGAATATTGCGCTTTTCAGACCGGCTTAAGAAACGGCGCACCACGAGACTATATCCCACACCTGGCTCAGAGGGTCCTACGCCCACGGAATCTCGCTGATTGCTAGCACAGCAGTCTGAGATCAAACTGCAAGGCGGCAACGAGGCTGGGGGAGGGGCGCCCGCCATTGCCCAGGCTTGCTTAGGTAAACAAAGCAGCTGGGAAGCTCGAACTGGGTGGAGCCCACCACAGCTCAAGGAGGCCTGCCTGCCTCTGTAGGCTCCACCTCTGGGGGCTGGCACAGACAAACAAAAAGACAGCAGTAACCTCTGCAGACTTAAGTGTCCCTGTCTGACAGCTTTGAAGAGAGCAGTGGTTCTCCCAGCACGCA